>NC_000010.11:16979696-17131212 GCF_000001405.40 Homo sapiens
TGGATTAAAGACTTAAATGTAAAACCTAAAATCATAAAAACCCTAGAAGAAAACCCAGGCAATACCATTCAGGACATAGGCATGGGCAAAGACTTCATGATTTAAACACCAAGAGCAATGGTAACAAAAGCCAAAATTAACAAATGGGATCTAATTAAACTAAAGAGCTTCTTCATAGCAAAAGAAACTATCACCAGAGTGAACAGGCAATCTACAGAATAGGAGAAAATTTTTGCAATCTATCCAGCTGACAAAGGGCTAATATCCAGAATCTACAAGAAACTTAAACAAATTTACAAGAAAAAAATAAACAACCTCATCAAAAAGTGGGCAAAGGATATGAACAGACACTTAAAAGAAGACATTTATGCAGCCAACAAACATATGAAAAAAAAAGTTCACCATCACTGGTCCTTAGAGAAATGTAAATCAAAACCACAATGAGATACCATCTCACGCCAGTTAGAATGGCAATTATTAAAAAGTCAGGAAACAACAGATGCTGGCAAGGATGTGGAGAAATAGGAACGTTTTTACTCGTTGGTGGGAGTGTAAATTAGTTCAACCATTGTGGAAGACAATGTGGCAATTCCTCAAGGATCTAGAACCAGTAATACCATTTGACTCAGCAATCCCATTACTGGGTATATAACCAAAGGATTATAAATCATTCTACTATAAAGAGAGATGCACACGTATGTTTACTGCAGCACTATTCACAATGGCAAAGACTTGGAACCAACCCAAATGTGCATCAATGATAGGCTGGATAAAGAAAATGTGGCACCTATACACCATGGAATACTTTGTAGCCATAAAAAAGGATGAGTTCATGTACTTTGAAGGGACATGGATGAAGCTGGAAACCATCATTCTCAGCAAACTAACACAGGAACAAAAAACCAAACACCGCATATTCTCACTCGTAAGTGGGAGTTGAACAATGAGAACGCATGGACACAGGGAGGGGAACATCACACACCGGTGCCTGTCGAGGGGTGGGGGGCTAAGGGAGGGATAGCATTAGGAGAAATACCTTATGTAGATGACGGGTTGATGAGTGCAGCAAACCACCATGGCACGTGTATACCTATATAACAAACCTGCAGCTTCTACACATGTATCCCAGAACTTAAAGTATAATAATAATAACAATAATAAAAGAAAATTAGGTAGCCAAAAAATTTAAAAACAGAAAGAAAAAAAAAACCCTTCAAAATAGAACTTCATTCACTCTTATATGAAGCGCAAAGCATTAGTTTCAGGTAGGAATGCATTAAAAGTGTTGGTAGTAGTGATGGGCCAGAAGGCAGGAAAATGCTTGGTAGAAGAGGTTGAGGTCCCTGGTGAGTGCTCCACCCTCAAGCCTGGATCTGCCACTCAAAGTGAGAACCATCCCTGTTTTCCCACCCAAATGTTGCCTTTTGGCCTGCCCTGCGCCCATCTGGTGCCCATAAGAACTCCAAGCCCCAGACTCAGCAGACACACACACACACACACACACACAGAAGAGAGAAGTGTCTGAACGTCAAGAGGAGAAGAAGGAGCTGGACATCGGAGACTATGGTCAGAGAGGAGTTCAGCCAAGGAAGGCCAGACTCCTGCAACCCACTTCCTCCAACCTCTTTCAAGCTCGCCTTCCTGCTGAGAGCCACTTCTACCTCTTAATAAAGTTATCCACATTCACCACCCTTCAATTTGTTCGTGTGACCTGATTCTTCCTGGACACTGGACAAGAACTTGGGTACCAAGAGGTCAGGGTGTAAAAGGCTGTCACCCTGACCCTCCACTGAGCTGGTTAACACTTAGCTGTCCATGGACGGCAAATGCTAAAAGAGCACTGATTGCAACACATGCCCTTTGGGGCTTTTGGGGTCGCAGACACCCTCTCCGAGATGGCAGAGCTAAAAGAGCATTGTAACAAGCTTGGACGCTGCCGTGGGCCGTGCACAGAGCCTGCTCCCACCAGAGATGAGGGACCAGCCAGTTCTAGGGTTCGTTCACCCCGGTTCCTGCATTCGTCTATTCGTGTGCTCCCTCCTGAATTCAGCGAGGCAGCCAAGCAAATAAGCCACCCCCTTCGCAAGTCCTGTAAAGGAGTCAAGGAAACCCTCCCATCTCAGTAGCAGAAACTCTTTTTGTCATCTGACCAATTCATAGCCATATTCCTTCTCCTCCACTCCCATCTCCCAACCTGTTCTATCAGAACATGGATTTGTTCAAGTAGCAAATCAAGATATCCTTGTCTCAAGAGAAGCAGAATCCTGTGAAAATCCCAGATGCTTAATAATAATAATTGATCTAAAACATTTATGATAAATCTATTCCATGATACTTTCTGGATCTCTTTTGTAGTCAGTTCTGGCTAATGATATATCAGGGGCTTTTTTGGAAAATTTGCTTTCCTTATTAAAAGAAACACAAACAAAACAGAAATAGTTAACACTATTGCTTCTTCCTTTTTTCAGAGGTAGACTCAGGTAGGACATTCAGATAAAAACCACTGCAGCCATTTTTTGACAATGAAGTAACAACAAAATGAAAAGCCAACAGGCTAATAATGGTAGCGCAGAAACTGACTTGCTAAAAAACCTAGAGATTATCTACTTCCTGATTTGTTTTTAGGTAAAAAATAAATGTCCTTATATTTTAAGTTGCCAATAGTTTGGTTTCCTATGAATCGACATTAAAAACACCCATAAGTAATACATTCACTAAATATGCTTATATGGCAGTGTTTTGACCGAGGTTTGACTGGAGACAATGCTTGAAATTTATGTCACTTACCATAATACAAGAGTCTTGTGGTTCAAGATCAAAGTCAGTGAAGTTCAAGAGAACACGATGATTTCTGTCAACCCGAATGACCCAAGAACAGTCTGTGTTGCTCCTATAAGGACTGGGGTAATTTGGAGAATGAATCTCTCCACTGGGAGCCTGGAAAATCCCACCACAACCTGGAAGTGGGGAACACAATTATTTCATGAGAGGAATCATGGATGCTCGAAAATAATCCATTACCTGGTTGTATAGATCAATACATTACTTTGCTTGAATCAGTTAGTCGATGCTAAAAACACTGAAGAATTTGATATCCACATTAAGCCATTTATCCCAACAGAATAAGAAGGGATGACATGGATGATACTAAGAAAATACTTCAAACACTTTAAATACAGATGCCAAAATTTATTTTAAAAATAATTAAAAGGAAACGCAAATGAAATCACGTTTTCACAAAGCCATGGAATGCTGCTTCTTCACTGTCCTCTAAAAATATAGCATACTGGAAGAATAACATGTTTCCTTCCAAGAATTGTGATAATCTAGTAGTGCATGCATTTAAAAATAATTTAATATCTACCCTTTAAAAATTTAATATTCGGATATAGTACAGTTACTTAGGTTTTTTAAAATTCCTTTGATGTTATCAAATACCTGTTAGTTCAATGTCTTCTCTATGACCCACCATTTCTTGGATTTATGATAATATAAGCCAATAATAGAAAACTTTGGCACTATTTTCTAATAATGGAGAATCATTCAGGGGTAATCTAAACACTAAATGTGTGTGTCTGTGTGTGTGTGTGTGTTTATTTAAATTCCTACATAATTAACTTTAGGGGAGAGCTCTTATATAGATACCTTGGTTATGATAGAGTTGAAGAAGTGTGGCCATAAGGTAGTCTGGAATCACATATGTGCTTTGACGTTTTCTAGCTGTGGAACTTTGGGCAAGACACTAACCTTTCTAAGCTTCAGTGTCCACACTGGTAAGATGAGGATATGAAGCGGACTTCCCTCACAGGGTGGTTGTAAGGACTAGAGATAATCCTCATAAAATAGTTAGAAAAGTGCCTAGTACACAGTAAGCATTCTGCAAATGTGGCTATCTCTAGTAGTTGCATATGCTAACATCTGTTACACTATTTTGTGCCATAGATTTTTGCTATAGTTTAAAAATATACAATAGGCAATTTATTTAGACTGCCTAAAATCTTGGGCAGAAAGTCACCATAGAACACACAGTAATTCCTTGGGATTCACAAATTTAATGTTTGCAAGTTTGATATTTGCCAAGAATCTAAAGGTCTGTACTATGGCATGAGGTATGGAGGCTGGTTAAGAGGTACGAGCCCTTGGAGAGTGGGTCTGGCCTATCACCCTAGTTCTGCTCTCACCATGGACTTACACACTTACATTCTTGCTTTCACATATGTGGTGACCCTTAGGAAGTTAAACTTTATCACGTATTTTAGGGAAGGGTATATGTCAGGTCTCAGTAGGCTGCCCTTTGGGATGTCACTAAGTTATAAGTGTGTAGCCTTCATACGTTTTCCCAAGCATTTCATGAAATTTAACGAGGGCTCGGCTTAAGTACTTTAGGAAACCTCCTTTTCTCACTCACCTCCAGTGACTGCTTGCCATGACGCATTGAAGCCTCTCCCATTTATGGACAAGTCGGTCTTGAATCGAATTGCTAGCTCATTTCCAGTGCTGGAGACCTGCATGGGGTTCTCAGGTGATCTCTGGGTACACAGTTGGGCTATTCTGGGAGAGTGGAAATCGGGGCCTCCATAGATCTAACATGGGATGTAGGAAAAAAGACTTTAAAAAATATTTTAAGCAATTACAGGCCCTTGCTCTGGCTCATTTTGACCCCCGGCTCCTTGGGTTCTATGATTATTAGAGATTGAAATCTCAGCCTCCCTGGGTGGGGATGCACTATAAACTTGAGCTGAGTTTTCAAAGGCACTCCCTGTGCCTTAGGAACACACAAGTTCAATCACCCATAAAATGCCTGCTTGTTTCATCAGCCAGAATTGCAGAGGAGGACGGAGTAGATTATTCCAGAATCTTCCCTATCTCCTCTTTTTGTCTTTTTCATGTCTTTGTGGGCTTTCCTGCTTTCTCTAGCAGAAACATTACAGATCATACAATATTAAGTCGATTTTCTGAATTTTAGGGGGACCTTTAAAAAAAGAAATGTCTGATTTTCTAACTCTGGCACATATGATTAGTCTTAGCATAAAGCCATTTTGTTATGAAAGTTGAGTTCACTGAAGGCTACCAATATCCCAGTTATATTTTTAGGAATTTCCACCTACCCTGCAAACTGAATGTTTTCTAAGACCACACATTGAATATAACACGTATGCTTCTTTAGGAGGAGTGGAAATACCAGCTCTCTGGGTGTGTTTTGGAGCCTAAGGAAGGGGATGCTATGCACCCTCCCTGTGCCTGCTCCCAGCACGCCCATGCCCAGGAACCTGACTAAGTGCATCCCACTTTTCTGCTCAGGGATTGCCCTAGACTCTGCCTTAGTCTCCAGATGGCTCCTTCTGATATAGACAGCAGACAGGGAAACACTGGGTAGAAGAGGGAGGTTCCCTGGCAAAGGCCCCATCCCCAAGCCTGGAAACCCACGGCCCTAAACGGGAACAGGCATTCTTGTTTCCACACCCAGATGTTGCCTTTTGGCCTGCCACGTCCCCATCTCCTGTACCCATATAAACCTCCAACTCCAGGCTCCACGAGCAGATGGGCAGATGAATAGAAGAGCAGAGGAGGAGAAGAACAACGTGGCAGAGAAGGAGAGAGAAGGAGCATCTGAACGTTGAGAGGAGTTTGGCCGGGGATGGTCAGACAGTTGATCATCCACAGCACAGCGAAACTCTATGGGGAAGATCATCTTCACACTCCATCCCCTTTCCAGTTCCCCATCCATTCCAATGACAGCTACCTCCATCGCCCAATAAAATCCCCACATTCACCATCCTTCAAGTCCGTGTGTGACCTGATTCTTCCTGGATGCCAGACAGGAAGTCGGGTACCAAGAGTCACTGAGCTGGTTAACACTTGAGCCCTCTGTGGATGGCAGAGCTAAAAGAATACTGTAGCCTGCCCATGAGGGCTTTGAGAGTCACAGGCACCCACCACTAGACCGTACTGTGGGTAGCATCTTGCCTGGGTTCCTGCACCTGCCAATCTGCATGCTCCCCCTCCCATAAGGGGTTTGAGGGCACCACAGCCGAACAGATGTGCCACACCCCTGTCACAGGTCCTGCGACGGGGTGGTCAGGGAACTCTCTTGTTTCACTTCTAGATCTATCACACATGACTTCAGACCACGTAGGCTCCTCCAAATCTCCCAAACTGTCTGTCTGACTGGAATCCAATACCCCAGTGACATAGTCCTCTGGAAAGAGTCTCCTTGGGCTCACGGAGGGCATCTTGCAGGCAAGGATAGCCTAGGCCAGGCCTCCAGGAGGCCTCACAGACAGGTTTCTCAGTCTCCTCTGGGTCCTGTTTATCTCCTGTGTGTATGTGTGGGGCTGGGGAGGGTGGCGAAGGCAGGATGGGAATCAAATAGAAGATGCTGACTCCTCATCTTCAGGTCTTTTCAAACTTCGATTTGTAAAAGAAAGACCATCTTTGGGAGACAGTTTTCAAAGAGTTGGTATCTGAGACCTTCATAACTGCAACTGCAGCCATCCATGTACAGGCACTCAGGACCAGAGCCAGGAAGGCGGCTCTCAGGGGGATCTGGGCACAGCGCCCTCCCACCCTCCCTCTGTGCCTTTCCCCCACCTCGGGACACTCTGCCCCCATTCCTCAGCACCCCCGGCCCTTGCCCACCCTCAGGACCCACTGCTGACTGATAGGAAAATCACTCAAGTGTTCTCTGGGGAGAGGGAGTGAGAACAAGAAGCCTACTTTGGGGAGGAGTGTGTGATTTGAATCTATAATGATTTCTTTGTCTGATTAATTCCCCCCAGCCATCCGGTAAAGGCCAAAATGAATGAAACGGCTGTTACACAGAGGGCTGAGCACAAGGACAGTAATTGCAAAGGAATGAAGCATACCGACTGCTTCAGGCTTATTTTTATTAGGAGGAGCTGATGTTTGTGCACTCCCCCCAAGTCCCATCAAAAGCAGGGCTTTAGGAAGAGCCCTGTGTGGCCCCTGACACGTACACATATGCAAATGGCAGAAGCAAGCTTGCATGGTGTGTAGAGCCAGCTTTCTTTCCCATTTTCAAGATCTCCCTACCCCCTCGCCTAGGGCACAGTCCCCACAGCATGAAACTGACAGCATGTGCTCCCAATCACCCAAGCCCAATCAACAGCACATATTTGGAAAGACCACTGAACGCCAAGTGTTAAGTTCTAACAAAGAAAACTCGCACGTCGGCAAAATATTCTTTGTTTTCTCTGCTCAAACATCCCCTTGAGATCACAAACATAATGGGTATGAGTTGGCTGGACCCAGAAGCCTCTAGAAGAATAAACACTGCCACTTTGGACATTATTTACTTCCCTTCTTGCAAGGCTGAGCTCACAAAAGCCTATCGCAGAGAGGCCAGACTGAGGTAACTGTCCACACCAAGCAATTGTCCTGGTTTACTGCTCCAAGGAGTGGATTTCCTTTTCTGCCTAATGCCAGTTCAGAATCTCTCTAAAGACTTTCTCAGAGATTAAAGTAAAATCAGGCAGAGTGTTTCCATGACCGAAACAATGGTCCTTCTGGCTTCCACAAATAAAACCGATAGTACATGACTCTTCAAAAGAAGAAAAAGATGGAAAGAATTTCAGGGCATGGTTCATTCAACTACAGCATATGACTAAACTTTGGGGGAAAAAGAAGTGGTCTGATGATCAGAGATTTAAAAATGTGTTTTAGCAAATGCTCAGGATGGAGGACATTTCAAAGCCTATGGTTTTAATCTGTTTTGAACATTTCTTTCTGCTCTGTTAGCTCCATTTATTGTTACAATCAAGTCAGCATTCCGGGGTTATGAGTAACCAAACAGCTGCTGCTTTTTGCAATGGGCCACTTTCCGGACTCTGATTTTTCAAGGGAAAAATGGCTTCTGAATAAATTTTGTGAAACCCAGGTAAGCCCAATACTTAGTGGCTGTAAGGCCCCACTTGACTACACTCACATGCAGGCTGAGAAAGTCAGCAAAGTTTTTAGATCACATGCCCATCATGGGTAACAAACTTTTAAACCCACTACTAACATGTTATCAGCAGCTAGGGAGGGGTGAAAAAAACCATTCCACCACCATTAGCCCAATTTTATTACAGCGTTTTCCAAATGAACATTTGCAGAAAAGCAAAACAAGGCTTTTGAACAAAATGTCAGAGGGTTGCTCCTTTTAGCTTTCAGAAAAAAACTTTCCCCAAATATTTAAGAGCCTCAGAACAGTCCCCCAAACCCTGCTTTTGGTGGAACACGGGAGGCCACTGCAATGTCAGCTTGTCATAATAAAAATAAGCCCCAAGCAGACTGTGCGTCTTCTCACAGCCATTTCTGTCAGGCATAGGGCTCTCCTTGAAAGCCGCTTCTGCCTGGAGTCCCTGATTTCGTCCCTGAGGCCCCAGGCCTGCTTGTAGGGAACAGCCCCTGTCTCTACTTTCTCCCGTAATGGGTATGACACAACCCGAAACACAATTGGCCCATTTATAATTTGCCAAGTGGGCAACAATCACATGCACTTTGGAGTATGAAAATAAAGGGTTTGGAACATTGCACATAGCTGTGGAAGATCCACCTCCAGCCCTTTGTAAGTGATAAGGGGTCTTATGCAACCAAGCAATATCCTTGCAGGCGAGCGAGGCCATCTGAACATTCTGCACATGGATGCTAGTCCTACTTTGTGCTGTGAGTGTGAATTTCAGGAGGCACCTTGTTTCTCCTCTGAGATGGAGTCATGACTTGGCAACAGTCCTTCCGTGAAGACTTTCCAGTTCTATCTGATTTCATTTACAATTACAATAGTAAATTGTCTGTAGAGCTACAGTAAATGAAATCAGAGATAGAAATGGTAAGTCTTTTAGAGCCACTAAAAGTAATTCCTTGTGACTCTCACTGAGAAGGATGACTTTACTAAATTACTAAAAGTGATGAATTACTAAAAGTAATTCCTAGTGACTCTCACTGAGGGGATAATTCCATTTCTTTTCAAGGTAAGAACTTGTTTTATAATTAAAGTTTTTGTTAAAGTTTCCTGTAACGTCCATACTATTCATATCGACCCCTTGCACCCTGCACCCATCTATGGTCTCAGGATTTACTGGAGTGTTGAGCAGTGACTGGCTTCAGTTATTAGCTCTTCCACTCCCCTTCCATGTGGTCATGGAAAAGCCCATTAATCTTTTTGAGCGTTAGTTTTGACCACTGTAAAATGGGAATAAAATTCCCCTCTTACCTCATGGAACGATTTAATGTTTAAATGAGAACATGGAGGTAAAAATTCCTCTGTACAGTGCCCTAAATGTGCATTATTATGGTGTGACAATCAGAGACGTTGATGCTTTCATTCATTCCACAAACATCTATTGAGTGTTTACTCTTTGCCAGGTACTCTGTGGAGCTGGGAATATAGCAGTAAAACAAAGCAAACAAACATCTAGCCTCATGGAATTTAGGTTCTACTGGATATAGAATCCTTGTCATGCTGTGCTACAGCAGTCCCTAGAGCTGAGGTCACAGGATTTTTGTGTGTATTTGGAAGATATTAAAGTTTGCAGACAGGTCAAAGTTCAAAGTATACATAATAAATGTGTTACATACATGTAACTATATATAACATATTACATAATATGTAGTGTATTATATACTTACATTAAAATATATAATATAATAATCTGTTATAATAAATATTAATTATTGTAATTATTAATTATTATAATTTATAGTGTAAGTATATAATATACTACATAATATATTACATATATCTGGGACATATCTATATATGTTATAAAATTATATAAGAATATTACATAAATAATGTAACTATATAGTACGTTATATAATTATAATGAATTATATAATTTTATAAACTACAACAAAATATTTTAAAGCTATATATTTAAAATATATATATATACACACACACACACATATTCTAATGACTAAATTCCTGCAATTAAACATTGATTATAATAAACTTTTGGGCTCAAGATTCTCAAAGACTGTTTTAATGATCCAAGACACACCCTTCGCAGAAGTGCTGGGAAAATTTTCATCTTCAAATGCCTCATGCTACCTAGGTGGCCATTTTTTTACAAAAGCGCTCTGCGGCAGATGGCCCTGGCGGCCCCTTGAAGAGCAGCGGCAGCCCTGGTAGGCCATCCCTGTGCTTGTTGGCAGTGCCCAGTCTCTATGCTCCGCCACACGAATGCTCTTTCTGGGGGAGCTTTCTCAGACTGCAAGTGTGAGGTGTTAGCCATCCCAAGTGCAGTCCTTACCAATGGGAACCAGAGTTGGCGGACCAGTGCCTCCACTGTGGTCCTTCAGAAGGTCCCAGCGGATGGAGCCCAAGTTGCCCCCAGGGGCTCCCTCTGCTGGTTCCCCCTCCTCCTTTCCTTCACTCACTCGTCCTGGGCTCCGGCTTCCTGGCATTACCTCCTAACTCAGCTGCTGCAAGGCCCTCAGGCATTGCTTCAGGAAAACCCAAACCACACATTAATCCCATGTCTACCAAATGATCACCGAAGGGCTGATGCTCATTAAAATGTCTAAGAATAGAACACTGCTGACTACTGGAAAGAATTCGGAATCTTGGCAGAGTGATTTCCTGTTCTACCCCAAACTTTGGAATGTGCTGAAAAAACCATCTCACTTCCTACCTCCAAGACATCAAAGTTGCACCTTGAATGATACTCCACATCGAAGTCATGGATGGTGAGCTGAATGCTACTCCCGGGGTCCGTCCTAATGTACCAGATACACTCCTTGTTTGGTGGATACCTGTTGGGGAACCCGGGGCTGCTGAAGGAGCCTGTGGCCCCAGACAGCTCTCCACCACAACCTGTTAAAACAGAAAGGTTCAGTCAGTTCAAAGTGGGCAACAGCACATGGAAAATAATTCCAAATTCAACTCACCGAAAGGCCATCAAAAATATACAATGCTTAATTTAGGAGAAAACCGTTAAGTTACAATAAAGTTATAATTATGCAGTTATAAAACAATGAGAAAAAAATCATGGCTACAACTTATTAAGTTTATCCTTTCAAAAACACTGGATTATATATAATTTAGTACAATAATGCTCGATCCTTTTTCTTACCATATCAAACCTTCGTACTTTAAAAAAAAGTCATTCTAATTTTAGATTTTCTTTATTATAATAAGGTAAGAATTACATAACATAGTCGGAAGTACAATGGACCGTGTGAGCCGTGGTCGTGAACTTCAGGTCCCTGGGCCTTCAGTGTCCTTGTAGCTAATACATTATTCTGCAGTCCCGTGCAGATCTAAGAACTAGAATTTTAAGGGCTAAAAATCCTTAGCTTTGTACCAAAGACTGTAAGAAATAAACAAGTAAATTATATAGTTCCTAACTCAGCAAATTTACATTAAAAAAAATACAATGGATATAGAAAAATCCAACCAAGGAAAAAGACAACAGCATGTGTTTCAGAATCTTGATATGTCATGCCTTAGAAAGCCATTCAGGCAGACCATGACAACAAATAATCAAATGCTGTAGCCTGCGGCACACAGTAGAATAATGCCACCTTTCATTGAGTCCTCATATGGGCTTTCCATGTGTTTTCTGTTTCCGTACTCATAAGGACCACATGAGGTAGGTACTGTTAGGATCCAATTCTTAAATGAGCAAATCAGTGCAAACAGAGGTGGTGTGGATTTTCCAAGGTTAATTGATGCTAGGATACTAACTGAGGTGATCTGGTTGTATCTTAATACTTCATTACTATACCGCACAGGCTCTCAAATCGTTTGCAGGAATTCAGACAGAGATTTCAGTATGGAGAGGAAGAGAAAACTTTGCAGAAGAGGTAAAATTTGAGGAAGGCTTATGAGAGACACAATTAGAAAAGAAATTATCTTGTTTTCCAACAGCAATTTTTGGTGATTAACAAAACATTTTTTGCTCTTAACATTTCTGGGCCTCTTTTTCTGTTTTTTTTTTTTTTTAAATATTCTTTATTGGTTGGTAAATTCTTCCAATTACCTTCTCTTATTCTTCATCAAGGCTTTTTATGTGCGATCATCAAAAAGTCAGGAAACAACAAGTGCTGGAGAGGATGTGGAGAAATAGGAACACTTTTACACTGTTGGTGGGACTGTAAACTAGTTCAACCATTGTGGAAGTCAGTGTGGCAATTCCTCAGGGATCTAGAACTACAAATACCATTTGACCCAGCCATCCCATTACTGGGTATATACCCAAAGGAATATAAATCATGCTGCTATAAAGACACATGCACATGTATGTTTATTCCGGCACTATTCACAAGAGCAAAGACTTGGAACCAACCCAAATGTCCAACAATGATAGACTGGATTAAGAAAATGTGGCACATATACACCATGGAATACTATGCAGCCATAAAAAATGATGAGTTCATATCCTTTTTAGGGACATGGATGAAGCTGGAAACCATCATTCTGAGCAAACTGTCACAAGGACAGAAAACCAAACACCACATGTTCTCACTCATAGGTGGGAATTCAACAATGAGAACACTTGGACACAGGGTGGGGAACATCACACACCAAGGTCTGTCATGGGGTGGGGGAAGGGGGGAGGGATAGCATTAGGAGGAATACCTAATGTAAATGACGAGTTAATGGGTGCAGCACACCAACATGGCACATGCATACATATGTGACAAACCTGCACATTGTGCACATGTACCCTAGAACTTAAAGTATAATAATAAAAAATAAAATAAAAGTAACAGTGCCTCCTCACTCCATTATGAGTAAACGTGCATTTTTCACATAACATTAAACTACCATGGCTTCTAAAGTAAGACACCAAGTCTGAGATCTTGTCTACTGTCCACTCTATGCAAATTCCTCCTGTACAGTGAGTTAGAAGAAAAGCTTTTAAAAGTTAAGGAGTTAAAAAAAAAATCTCCGTGCAGAATTCCCCACTGCACTGAGAAGCACTGAGAATTCTAAGAATCTTGATTCGGCAGAGAAATCTGACTCTAGCTCAAAGCACTACTATCTTCTTGACTTCTCAGTCTCCTTTCACTTGAAAACCTCTGCGTTTTCAGACTTTAAATGTATTGCACAGAGCAATATCTTTCCTGTGTCCTAAAAAGTTCCGGCTTTTATTTCTAAAGCCTACGAAAAAGCTGTTTAAAATTAGATGTGCTGACATTGTTTAGAGACTATGATGAATCTTAAAAAAACACAAGTACCGTAAAAGATGAGAAAATATTTGTCCGACTACAACAACACATGGCAAATATTCCTGAAGCCAAAATCATCACAGATTGTCCGTATCTCCTGTACCAATGCCCAACTCCAGGGAGCACCGCTCACAGGACATTCTATAACAGGATGCTTCCGGAGTGGTACAACACAGTGCCTCATGTAACTCGTGTTAAGATGTACCACCTTTTACTAAAATACATTACAGGTAAGCAAAGCCTGTTACTGAAATTTTTTTCTCAACTTGCATTTTCAGCTCAGATGGTTCTTTCTATCAGTAGTATCAAATAAATTATCCAATGGAAAAAATCTAGAGGAAAATAACTTTATGGCCACATGATATAAAAGATAAGAAGGAAATGAAAGTTTAGATAGCTCATTTCTGCATTTTTATTTAGCATTCGTTCATCAGCCAATCTGATTCAATTTTTTTATCTTAGTTGATTCACATAAAACTCTGTGTAACATTTTTCCATTGTCTTTTCCAATTGTTTTACATTTCCTTGTGAATTCCTTCGCAAATAACAGGATACTAATACCCTTAAATTGTCGCTGTAAACTGGAATGGTAATACAGATTCGGGGCATTCAGTATTGCTTTAAAAAAATTACAGTATAGTTATATGGACCCACAATGTCTTTTTTCCTAGTATTTAAAGCAAATAATCCACAAGGTTTTCTTTAATAAAAAGAGCAAAATTTTACTTTTAAGTATATCTTGTTAATAGCACATATATGTATGCTTCTTAAAGAAAAATTTCTTTTTCTTTTCTTTTTTTTTTTTTAGTAGAGATGGGGTTTCATCACCATGTTGGCCAGGCTTGTCTCGAACTCCTGACCTTAGGTGATCCACCCGCCTTGGCCTCCCAAAGTGCTGGGATTACAGGTGTGAGCCACCATGCCCAGCTGAGAAATTTCAATTTTATAAGTGATACTCTGTCAGGAAAAATATTGTATGATCATGAGAAAGAGGGAAAGAAACAGTTAGGGCTTGAAATCTCTGAAGTTTTCTTTTTCTCCTTCATGCTCTCACTACCTCTGAGGATTAACATATCAAAAGGAAACATTTGAATTAAAAGTTCACAGCAAATGCAAAATAGGATAGATTAATTTAGTGGTACTTTCTGGTCAAAATTATACAGTACTAGGAGGGTGCAGCACACCAACATGGCATATGCATACATATGTAACAAACCTGCACGTTGTAATTCTGGTAATTACGGTAGAAACTTAACTGTCTTCGTATTTCTAAAATTTGAAAGAGGTAAAATAGCTTCCCAATTCCATTTATTTATTCCTTCATTCACTCATAAGTGTTTATTGAGCATCTGCCCATAATACAAGCAGTGCTATAGAAGCCAAGCATATTTAATATCTCTTGAAAAAAAGAAAGACATTTATAGACATAAAAAGTGTTATTGCCCACATGTCTTCTTGCAAGTTATTAAACCCTTTTTGCTTCTCCTTCAGTTTACTAAGAGTAATTTCAATAAGTTTTTATTTGAAGAAAACAACCTGAATACTATTCTATCCTTTACATGTTAATCACTGGTAAGTTACAAATAAGAATAAATAACTCATCCTGCCATTACCAGTCATATTTGCGACTCTGGATGCATGACAAAGGGATAACAAACAGGGAAGGGAAAAAGAGATGGAGAATACACAAGTCTGGAGAGGAAAGAAGTTATATAAACCAATACCCATCAGGAAATAACACAGGCAGGGATGTTTAGACCACCAACATCCTTGTCGTCATCCGGTTACCTGTCTGGTTGAATGAACAATAAAATGTAAAAGAAATACAGAAGTTTTTAACACCGGTCATTCATAATCTAAAATAGATGACAATGATTTAGAAAAGCCTTTCAAAAGAAGATAAAAGAAGATAATTTAAAAGATGAAAATACCAGCCAGGCGTGGTAGTTCACACCTGTAATCCCAACACTTTAGGAGACCAAGGTGGGCAGATCACCTGAGGTCATGAGTTCGAGACCAGCCTGTCCCAACATGGTGAAACCCTGTCTCTACTAAAAATGCAAAAATTAGCTGGGCGTGGTGGTATGCGCCTGTAATCTCAACTATTCAGGAGACTGAGGCAGGAGAATTGCTTGAACCCAGGAGGTGGAAGTCGCATTGAGCCGAGATCACAGCACTGCTCTCCAGCCTGGGCGACAGAGCAAGACCCCGTCTCAAAAATGAAAAAGATGAAAATACCAACCAAGAAAGGAACAGTGACATGAGGAATAAAGAGTTTTGAGAGAAATAGACACAGTGGCTCTTTGTCACTTTGGTAAGAGAAAGTTTTCATGGAGTAGACACGATTTTAGAACTGCTTAATTGGCATGTTAGATTGCAAAACTTTTGGAAACATTATAGTGTAACAGAGGAAGCATGGGCTGTAGTTCAGACAAATGGGTTCCTAAACTGGCTGTGATAGTTCCTAGGTAAGTAATCTAACCTTTCTTTCATCTATAGCTGTATGAATACTTACTTCATAGGGTTGTTACATAGAATGAATGAAACAATCCAAAGTTTTTAGCTAAATGTTGTGCATATCATAATCCTTTCACACATGCTGTGTATTCTATCTTTACATTTTTTTTTTACTCTTTTCTTTTGAAACAGGATCTTGCTATATTGCCCAGGCTGGTCTTGAACTCCTAGGCTCAAGTGATCCACCTTTCCCTCCCAAAGTGCTGGGATTACAGGTATGAGCCACCACACCTGGCCGTGTTTTGTATCCTCACAAGACTTTATCCCCAGATTTGAGACAAAGACTTGGAGCTAGAAGAGGAATTACTGGTTAAAAAGCTATCATGAATAGCTAGAGAAGAGGTAAGAAATTGGTTTTTCATTAAGGTGCACAAAAATTTTTTAAAAGACAATCCATATTTTTATGGTAGTTCAGTTCTCAAGTGCTTTTATTTTATTTGAATTATTTTTATTTGAAATGCATTATTTTATTTGAAATTAATCATGACAACGGGAGGCAGGTAACAATGATGTCAGGCCCATTGTAGAGGTGAGCAAAGTGAGGTTCAAGAAAGCTGTGGAACATGCTCATATCACTTAGTGAATGGCAGATGTGGGTACAAAACCCTATTGTGACACCCACCCTCCCCGATCCTGACCTCCACTTCTGTGTTCTCTCTCCCCCATGCCTTGCCGAGAACTTCAGCTCAAAGGCACGGAACTAACAATGTTGAATGCTGCCCTCATTACTGTCCTGTCCCTCCACTGAAGACAATCACCATAGCAACCTGGAAAACGTAAACAAAGCAAAAATCTTTTAATTGACTTTGAGGCAAAATCTAACAGAATACATCATTAGACATCAGCTGAACTGGAATAAAATAATGCCCTGAAGAGAAGCCTATGTTTTTCAGTTTTAAAGAGTTAATCTTTATAAAAGTTTTAGAGCTGGTGACTGATCATCTGTTTGCCTTGATTTTCCTCCAAACTCTCACTCATCTGCCGAAAGGAAGTGCTTGCTTTATCTGCAGGAAGCACATTGATCTGCTGAACTCATAACAACCAAGAGTTACAAGCTGTTGCTAAACCTGCTTACTTGTGTAGATAACTTAAAATACCTTCATAAAAGAACTTCACTAATATTGTTTTGGTTTTTGTCCAAAACAAGCCATGAGTTATAAAATTCCAGTACTGAAACATTTAATAATAATCTCCTATGTAGGTACTATCTTTAAGTTCGTATCTGTGTGTTTTTAATAAGAGCTTTAATAAAAGCAAACCAGTAATGAAACAGCTAAATGGAATCCAAGGCACAAAATTTAAAAAGTAACTGCTGTATTGCCCGGCGACTGCTCAAATGCAGTCAGCGCTTTGCTGGCTGGCATTTTCCTGAAACTATATGCCATAAACTGATGGCATCAGGAGGAATAACATCTTGAAATACACATGGCTAAAGCCCAAAGAGGATGGCAGAAAAGGAAGAGAGAAGTGATTCATCACCGACACCCTCCCACCCTTATCCCTTCATTCCTAAAGGAAATGCCTGGGAAATCAACAGTTGCTGTTAAAACGAAGCCAAAAGCCAAGGCACAGTGAAAGAGAATTAAATTTTAAAAGTAATTAGTGAGGATGTTCACGTGCTTCATTAAAATGCTCAATTTATATTTTAATAGCTTTTTTTCTATAACTTAACAATAAAAACTCTTTCTGCTCTATAAGACCTTGAGATGTGCTTCATTGGCAAGGCCAGTTTGCCTTCATTGTGTAAAAAGGCGGCTTGTGGGCTGGGCGCAGTGGCTCATGCCTGTAATCCCAGCACTTAGGGAGGCAAAGGCAGGCCGATCACAAGGTCTGGAGATCGAGACCATCCTGGCAAACATGGTGAAACCCTGTCTCTATTAAAAATATAAAAAATTAGCTGGGCGTGGTGGCAGGCACCTGTAGTCCCAGCTACTCAGGAGGCTGAGGCAGGAGAATCACTTGAACCCAAGAAGTGGAGGTTGCAGTGAGCTGAGATCACACCACTGCACTCCAGCCTGGCAACAGAGTGAGACTCCATCTAAAAAAAAAAAAAAAAAGGCAGCTTGTGGAGGAAGGGAGGACACAGAAGAGAAACTGCCAGCAAGGACCCTTTTGGTAAGGCAGGTGTGATGTGAATTGGTAACTAAGAGCTCAGAATCTGGGGAAGGCCCAACCCAAGGCAAAGTGAACTATTTCCTGGAGTGAGTATACAGGCCTCACTTCCGATACATCTATGAAACATAAAAAAACGTAATTACAAGGATTTTGAACAGAAACTTTCAGGTCAGGGAGGGTGGGGAAGTGGACAGGAATATGTGCTCCTTAAAATGGCCAAAGTTGTCCAAAGGTGACTGGCATGTAATGAGAACCACAAAAAGTCAGTAATTCCTGGTTTGATGTTACCAGTTAATTCCCCAACATTTCACAGGTATGTGGCCAAGTGATAGGCATCTGTCCTACTAGGGTCACTAGTCCTCTCTGAACACAAGGCCAAGGGTGGAGCTCCTCAAATTCATAAGGACATGAAGCATGTGCAGATGGATTTTTCTGAGGGATTTAGTCAGATAGCATGTATTCTGTGAGGAAGGGGACACAAACTGGAGTGATCACGAGATGAAATCAAAGAAGAAAATCAAGTAATATAAAGGCCAAGGAACATAAAATTTCCTTGAGAAAAAAGAAGGAAGAAAGAAGAGAGTGAAAAGGAAGAAGAGGACAAAACATCGTGACTCCAGGAGAGGAGAGAGTTGTCCCTGTATTGGGTTGAACACTGTCCCCCGAGACTTATGCCTACCAGGAACCTGTGACTGTGACCTTTTTGGAGGAAAGGGCCTTGGCAGATGCAGTCAAGTTAAAATGAGATCATACTGGATTGGGGTGGAACTGAAATCCAATATTCTTGGTATCCTTATACGAAGAGGGAAATTTGGTCCCAGACACCAAGAAGGAAGAAGGTCATGTGTGGATAGAGGCAGAAATTGGAGTTATGCATCTACAAGGCTTAGAAAGCCAAAGACAGCCATCAATCAACAGAAGCTAGAAGCAGCAAGGAAGGGTCTTCCCTAGAGCCGTCAGAGGGATGACCCTGCCAACACCTTGACTTTGGAATTCCAGCCTCCAGAATAAAGAGAACAAATTTCTGTTGTCCCATGCCACCCAGTTTGTGGTACTTAGTTACAGTAGCCCTAAGAAGCTAATGTATCCTCATTCTTTCCCTGATAATTGAGGTGGCCAAACTCCCAGGTAGGTACAAAATGGTAACAACTATTTGTGTGGTATTCAAGGAGTGCACATTTGTAAACTTTCTGTATTCCATCTTGTAATTATTACTTCCTATTTGTCATCTTGAGGTTTAGAGGATGGTTGGTCAAGGGTAAGATTTTCATGAAAACAGAAAAGGTCTATTGTTGAGAAAACTAGCAGCAAATACAGGGCCAGGTATCACATCAGGAAGAAACAGGTAAACCCAAGAACCAGGGAGTTAAGTCATAACGATTTTTAGTGTTGGAGAGTCAATGAACGTTTAGAAAGTTTCATGTTCCATGGAGACTTCATCCTTGCCCCATATTTTGTGATAATCCATTTTATTCGACTAATTTCTATACAGCAGTGGATATAAAGTAGAGCATCGGGTTTCAATGGTAGAGATACAATAAAAAACAGTGAAAGAATAAGTTATTGCATGAAGTCAGTGACTTGGAAAACAGATACAAGAAGCTTAGAAATCAATGCTGTGGACCGCTATATAATGACCTTTACATTCCTATTCAAGATGTCATATAAATACTCAAAGTTAAGACTGTCATAGCCATCTGACTATCTAAGATGGCCTAGATCTAAATACTGATGTGTTTCCCTTTAGTACATCATCAAAGAGAAAGAAATCCAAAGAAGCCATAATTTTGGAGTTTCTGTGTAATATAAATTTTAATTTCCTGTATACAAAAGGATACTATCTTTCGTCTTAACCTAGAGAAGTTAGCCAATCTTGTCATCTTTTCACTTTGATTAACTTTATCAGTTTCCTTTTAAGCTACTAATTTCAATCAAATTAAAAAATGGTTTCCCAGTAGAAATCCCTTGCTTACAATTCTTCAGGAGAAATCAATCATTTGATCAATCTCTTTTCCCTCTCCTTGGATGTTTTTGAAATGATTGAAGACTTCTAAACAAAGTTTAGTATAAAAAGGTACAAGGAAAGAAATGAGACTAAGATAACTGTACTAACCTTCCCTGAAATAAGCAGTCATGCCTAAGGCTACTGAAAGCTTCTTTATGAAATCCCTCAAACAAACAAAGACAGAGAAAACATGTTCTCTGTAGGCAGTTTCCAAGTTCAACAGTCATACTTCTATTTAGAAATATTATTCAAACCTGCATTCCTTCAATTTCATTATTTTGGTACACAGGGCTCTTGCAGGGAAAAGCTCAAAGAGCCTCCAGGGACCTACATTGCAGGCCTCTCCCTGATTCCTTCCCTCACCTCCTCCAACCTCTAACCTTCCCTCTGCAGGGAGAGGACTCCACCCGGAGAAATGGACACAGGTGGGCAGCACCACGTCCATGGCAGTGGTGTTCTGTGACCCTTTAAACTCTGTCCAAATCTGAGCCTCAAGGTTGTTTTCTCTGATTACAACATCCCATGCTGCAGGCCCCTCGCAGGGCAAATCCTGCATCCAGCCAGCCTGGGTCCTTAGCTTAGGGGAAGAAAAACAACTAAATTACCCAAATCCTCACATGCTCCACCCCATTCCCATGGTCCACTCTAGCCCGGCCAAGTTGTTCTGGGAGCAGCTACCCTTTTACTCTTCACTTTAATATAACTTCTCCCTCTTGTAAGCGAGTTTGTATAACTAAACCTTGGCAACTGACCAGATGATCTCCGTGGTTTCTCCCAGATCGGTGGATTCCATCAGCAACATATATAGCAGCTCCAGAACAGCACTTTATAAATGAGTAATAAAGCAGAAATTGTGTTTAAGGATTGCAAATAACATCAGCTATTTCGAACTTGTCTTTTGCCTAGCAATGCGCCCCTCCGCCCCAACCCACATATTATTGCTACTTGAACCTAAAGAAAGAATGAATTGTGTCACTTAGTGGGAAGCCTTTGAAACTGGATCACCATTTACTTGGGTAAGATTGCACACATCTTTTTAAAAACATTTATTATTACGGGAATTTATAAAATTACCTACTATAAGCTCTGACCTTCTTTGCATTGCAATATCATTTGACCTTTTTTTGCAATGAAAAGCTGTGGGGAAAAAATATTTGCTTTCAGGCACCATCGTGCTACTTATTGCACGGCCTTTGAGTTTGACATCACACACTGAGTTTTGTGTTCTGATTCCATTGCTTAGTGGATGTGTAAGTTTGGACACATCACTTAACTTGTCTCAGGCTTCTTCCTCAGTTTTCTCATCCATAATAAGGGAATGATAATGCTCATTTAAGAAAATTATTGGGATGAGACATGAGATTGTGTTCGGAATTGGTTTCTTCCGGTGGGTTCTTGGTCTCGCTGACTTCAAGAATGAAGCCACGGACCTGAACAGTGAGTGTTACAGTTCTTAAAGATGGTGTGTCCGGAGTTTGCTCCTTCAAATGTTCAGATGTGTCCGGAGTTTCTTCCTTCTGGTGCGTTCGTGATCTTGCTGACTTCAGGTGTCAAGCTGCAGACCTTCACAGTGAGTGTTACAGCTCTTAAAGGTGGTGTGTGCAGAGTTGTTCATTCTTCCCGGTGGGTTTCTGGTCTCGCTGGCTTCAGGAGTGAAGGTGGAGACCTTTGGAGTGAGTGTTACAGCTCATAAACGTAGTGCGGACCCAAAGAGTGAGCAGCAGCAAGATTTATTGTGAAGAGCAAAAGAACAAAGCTTCCACAGCGTGCAGGGCAACCCCAGTGGATTGCCACTGGTGCGCAGGAGGCCAGCTTTTATTCCCTTATTTGGCCCCGCCCACATCCTGCTGATTGGTCCATTTTACAGAGCGCTGGTTGGTCCACTTTACAGAGTGCTGATTGGTCCGTTTTACAGGGTGCTGATTGGTCTGTTTTTACAGAGTGCTGATTGGTGCATTTACAAACTTTTAGCTAGCCACAGAGCGCCGACTGGCGCATTTACAATGCTTCAAGCTAGACAGAAAAGTTCTCCGAGTCCCCACTGGACCCAGGAAGTCCAGCTGGCTTCACTTCTCAAGATCATATTTTTAAATTACACATGTTGAGTCATGTTTTAAAATGATAACATCAACAACAGTAATAGTGAATGAGATGTCAATTAAACCAATGCACTAAGCGTTTAATCATATTTTCATTCACTCTTTACATGGCAAGATAGTTTATTTTTATCATAATATCTTCAGACAAATTTAAGATTACATTTAGGTGGTAAAATCTATATTATTTATCCTGCATTCCTTCAATTTCATTATTTTGGTACACAGGGTCAAAATAGTCTATATTTGAGTAGCCTGTGGAACTAGGAGGAGAAAAAAATCAGGGACAGAGTATATTATTGTCATTACTGATCTACAGATTATCAAATTCTACTAACTCTTATAAGTGGTAGTTACTGTCCTCCACCAGATTTGTTCTGTTTGTGAGACAATGCTGCTGCCACCTGGCACTGCTTCCTCTGTTCCTCTGAGTACACAGTGCATTCACACAAAACAAGTCCTTGGATATGTAATGTTTGAAACAAATATGGCAACATTTAAGTCAATGGTCGAAAAGAGAAACCTCTGGGGACAAAAATTCAGGTTCTACGCTGAACGTCACATTTGTTCTGAGTTGGCTTAGAACTCAAGTTTCTACACTTCATTTTTGGCTGCTATGATATTTGAAACTGAAAAAAAAAAGTGTGGTTTTGGTTTTTGTGTCATACGAAAAAGTGTGGAATCCCCTGCAAAGTACATGCATTCCTCTATTGGGGATATTGTTGCCAGGGAACCAGAACACAAACAGAAGTTTCGAGAAAGCCCTTTCTTTGGCCCAGATCTCAAGGACTGTTATTACAAATTGTGCAATCTGTGATTTGGGAAGGTCATGGTGGTTTGAGGGTTATTTTTTTTTCTTTTTATAACTGTTTCAAAGAGTGGCAATAGAAATAGAACTCCAACTTTTTCAAACAGTGGCGACATGGGAATGGGGAGGCGAGACTCCTGAGAGGCCCTTGCTGGTGAAGAGACTCAGAGCCAACATGAGATGAAGGTCAACTGTGTGGATGTGTATTTACTGCTGTCGTCAAGGAGGCAGAAATGTCAGGAGTGAGCTTTTCCACTCATTCTGAAAGGTCTGCATATGCACAGCTTTAATGCTGCCTCTGATCATTGGGACCTTGCTGGAGAAACTCTGAAGTCAAGGCCAAAAGAGCTGTGGGATTTTCTTAGTCACTATCCCAACTTTACAACAAGGAGTTATTTAGAAACAGATTTCTTAGAAATGAGCATCGTCCATTAAGAATTTCTTTGCAGAAAAGATATAAGTGAAAATTTGTCATAAATACAAATCAGACTCAGTATCACGATGCAGAAACCTGTGCTTTGGTTCCACACTAAGAAGGAACTCATTTCCAGTCTCCATGCTTAAAAATATTTTAAGAGTATCACAAAGACAAAAGCCCAAAATATCAAATAGGCTGAAAAAGCCATCATAAACAGGATGGGATATAGCATGTATAAATGTGAGAGAAAGAATAGTCAGCATTTAGGGAAATATCTCTTAACTTAAACAGAGCTAGTTGTTTTTAAAAGCTTCTCTTTTACTTAAATTTCTACCAAAACCAAGCAGGATTTCCTTATCTGACATCAAATTCTTGAGGTTACTTTGGAGGCGGATGGATGGGTGCTTTACCATTTCTCTCTGTGTGACATTATGTCTATCACAGCCTAGCAGGAAGCGACACTGTGAAAGCAATTCCATTACCAACGGAGAGAAGGTCTGCGCCTGAGATTAGAACCAGACAGTGTGATTCACAGCCCAGCCCTGTGAACCTGCGCTAGAATCTTTGCTGACCACAATTCATAAATCACTTTCATTGCCAACATCATACTTCCAGATTGTTGTGAATTTTTTCACCACGTGGCAGCAAGGACACACAATAATAAAAATTTTAAATTGAACATTTTTTGTTCAATAAAATTTTTTCGTTCAACAAAAGTTTTTTGTTCAATAACAAAAAAGAGCCCTAAAATCATTTTCAAACTGGAAAACTTAGGTAATCATGAGTCTGTATTTCAAAGTTATAACTTTGAAGAAATTATTAGGAAGAGAGAATGCGGCAATTGATCTAATATTTTCTGTGCCAGGATTTATCACAGCACTGGCCACATAGCCCTTGAGTGTCTTTGCTGAGGATTCATCAGAATGTTACTCACCTTGGATCATCAGTTGTCTTGTCTCTGCAGACCGCTATTCCTCGCTCTTAGTAACCAGGACCCAGAATGGTCCCCTGGGGTTGCCTCTGTCACTGTGATCTATGATGTCTCCAGTTGTAATCTCCTCCCTTGACATTTCCCACTCCATTGTCTAAAACAACAGTGGTTCCCTTTTCCTTACTACGTTAAGTTCACACTAGTCTAGCTGGCTTTGAGAATTCTAAAGAATCTAGCCCAGGAGGTCTACGAAGCCTCATATCCCACTGTCTTCATTACATCAGGCTTGTTTCTCTCTCTTTCTTGGCTCATGCTTATCCAGGCACCATCTGTCATTTCTTGTCCTGATCATTCTTCAAGGGCTCTAAAATCTCACAGAGTCCGTGAAGATTTTCCCCAATGACTTCCAGCCTCCTTACTAGCCTTGCAATAGGCACCTCACAGTTCAGCACTTCTGTTAGTTTTCTACACCTGCTTCCTAACTGATCATGCTCAGCTTGAAGACAAAGACTAACGTGGTATTTCTTTCATATGCCTAAAAATACCTTGCACAGTTTTGGATATATATTTCATCATGCTCACAACTCCAAATTCACCAACATGTAGTTTATTCCAAAGTCTCTTTCTCTGGCCCAAAACCTCACCTAATTTTTATACTGACACCAGCAATTGCTGAAAGGATACATCCCCTGAACATCTCAAATTCAGCATGTTCAAATAGAAGCTCACAATTTTCCCCCAAACATGGTCTTTATCTGGGATTTCCTATCTATGAATAATGGCACCACCATGCACCAAATCATACACCGCAGGAAAACGGGAGCTATCCATGATTCCTTCTTCTGTCTCCCAGATTGACACACATCTACTCCACCATCAGATCTGCCCATCCTACCTTCTAAATAGCTCTTTTTTTTTTTTTTTAGCAGAATCTCACTCTATTGCCCAGGCTGGAGCGCAGTGGTGCCATCTTGGCTCACTGCAACCTCTGCCTCCCAGTTTCAAGCTATTCTCCTGCCTCAGCCTCCTGAGTAGCTAGGATTACAGGCACGCACCACCACAGCTGGCTAATTTTTGAATTTTTAGTAGAGATGGGGTGGGCCAGGCCAGTCTCAAACTCCTGACCTCATGGTCCACCTGCCTTGGCCTCCCGAAGTGCTGGGATTATAGGTGTGAGCCACTGCACCCAGCCCTAAACAGCTCTTTAATACGCTGCCTCACCCACTACTCATTTCCTTTCTCCCTGCTCTGACTAGTCACCAAACTCTCAGTCTCTTCCTCTTCTTGGGCATCCCTCTACTTGCCAGAACTCTTATTCTAAAGTGTACTTCTGTTTGCATCACTAAATTTCCCACTTAAAAATCCATTGGTGGTCTTTCCCTGATGGCAGGATAAAATCCAAATTCTTGTGATGTTTCCTATCAGTTGGTTTCTGATAACGTGTCCTGCGTCAACTTCTATCACTCCCTTTCCCTAGTGTTTCTCACCTTTTGTTCATTATCAGCCCCCTAAGGAGATTGTTCGGACATTTTTTTCCAAATTCTCAACCATGAAAATTTAATACCACAAGTATATTGCATATCTGTTATGTACTGTATATCTTTATGCTTTATACATTAAAGAGTAAGAATTTCTTAATCCCCCTACCAAGAGCCAATTTTACCTCCTTGGAGTTGATACTGCCCCAATGGAGAATGCAGAGAATGTGTGGTCTAGCTGAAGGACTTGCTCTTTGCAAAACTTTTGTGCCCTCACACCTTGCTGCTTCTACTTAGAAAAGCCTTCCTCTCCCAGATATTTGTCTGATCAATTCTTGCCCATTCTTTAAAACTCAGTTCAAATGTCAAAGCTGCCTGGAGGTCTCTTTGAACTTCCGCAGGCTGTCCTAGCTATTTTTTTCTGTGTTCCCATGGCGTCCTGGATTATGTATATATTTCTACACTTGGTTTACCTGCCTTGCCTACTCTATGACTAACTCCCCAAAGTCAAGAATGTGATCTCCTTCCTTTCTGGTATGGGCTGAATTGTATCTCTGCCAAAATTCATATGTTGAAGTTCTAACTCCCAGACCTCAGAATGTGACTGTCCTCGGGGATAGGGCCTTTAAAAAGAGGCAATTAAGTTAAAATGAAGCTGAATGGACTGTAATCCAATCTGACTGGTGTCCTTATAAGGAGCAAATTTGGACACACAGAGCTATCAGGATGAACACACACAGAGAAAACACCATGTGAGGACACAGGGAAAAGGCAGCATCCGCAAGCCAAGGAGAGAGGCCTCAGGAGAAACCAACCCTGCCGACACCTTGACCTTGGACTTCCAGCCTCCAGGAGACAGCACACTTCTGCTGCTTAAGCCTCCCAATCTGTGGCATTTTTGTTACGACAGCCCAAGCAAATTAATACTCTCTATATTTAGACAACAAGCCCAAAATATGTGCTGGATGGTTGGTTGAATGAATGAAAAACTTCTTCTCAAAAAATATCTGCTGGCAGAGGTTATGTGTAATTGACATGTAAATAATCATGTAATTAACATGATTCACAGTTGTAGCTGCCTGTTCATTATAGGCTGGGTCCAGCAGATCTTCTCCTAGAGCCCAGCTTACTCACCCTCACACCCTAAGGCATTTTCTCTCACACAAGACAAGTGGATAACAGAATTACAAAAGATAAAACCTTTGTCTTTAAAGGGTGAACCTCCCAGAAATCGTACTACATGTACTCTAAGTCACAAAAGGAATAAAATTTTTGAATGAGAAGGAATTCCCCCGAAAGACCAGTGATAAACAAAGGCTAATGAAAGACCACTCGAGAGAAAGAGACCTGGAGCAAAGATCTAACTTTAAGAGAAACACTGCCGACCTCATGGCGGTTTTCTGCCAGTGCTCTAAAGATGTTTTTTAAAAGCCCTTTGGTACAGTGCCTCATGCCCACAGGTAGTCAAGAAGGCACTGGCTTACATCCAAACCGAGCCAGTCATAAAAGATGTTGACACGGTTTTTAAAATGTTCTCTTCTAATTTCTGAAACTTCTCAAGGCTTGAGAAATCTCCTTAATAGCTAAAAGGAAGATAAAATGGACCCAGCCCCCATTTGAGAGGCTGATGTCATCTATCTTCCCAAAGAAAAGGCCACTTTTTCCTTTGTGGAAATCCTGGGTGACATCACCTCCTGATCACATGCCCCTTAGCCCTGCTCCTGCAAGCTCCCAGCTGAAGGGTTCGCTCCCTTTGCAAATGTCACTCTCTCGCTCACAAAGCTCCTTGACCTTGTTTGTATGCTGGATTCCATCACTAAGTGAAAGAAGGCTTCTGGGAGCAACGACCAGAAGAGGCGAGGGGGTCTGTGCAGCTGGTTGGGAGGCCACTTTTCACACAGCCTGCGGAAACTTCTGTATTCCCCACCCCTATCCCCCACCCCCTCCCCCTGCAACCCAGATGGAGGCCTCCAAGGCTGAATTCAGCCGCTGGACAATGCTGTCAAGGCTGAATACCATGAACCGATTAGAGACAGGGCAACTGTGGCCATTTCTTTATTTCCAGGGTGGGGCCCTCTTTGAGGACCCGCATAAAAGGCCCTGCAATGTTACTTTGTCTCATGTCTGCATGGCCATGTTCAGAAAGAGCCCACAGATAAAGCCTCGTTGTAGATCCGTTTTCTTAAAGCCAATAGAAGGTTTGTGTCGTTCACAAAGAAGCATATTTTGTAAATGCGTTTGTGTATGAACTGGGGAAATGAATGAAGTGTGTAGGAACTCTTCCTCAGAAGCAGTGCTCAGGAAATGATGTCGCTGCCAAGTTTGAACTCTCTGCTTGGTGTTTGGAGATCGTACTGCACAGTTTAGAAAAGAGTCCAGTGGGGAGGGTGGGGCAGGGGGAAGGGATTGCAAGGTGATAGGATTCTGAGGAAAAGAGGCTAGGAGTTTAAAGCCACTTGACCTGGCCAGGGCACGAAGAGCAACTCCAGGACCAGCGTTAGCGGGGCTGTCCTGAGCCCTCCACCTGATTCTGAGAACATCCCTTGCGGGGCTGTGCAAGGAGAAGCCTTTCTAATTATTTTCCTTCTGATATGTTACACACACTCACACAAATGCATTTAAGAATGTTATGACCAGCTCAGTGGCTCATGCCTGTAATCCCAGCATTTTGAGAGGCCGAAGCAAGCAAATTGCTTAGCTCAGGAGTTTGAGACCAGCCTGGAAAACAGAGAAACCCTATCTCTACAAAAAATACAAAAGTTAACTGGGTGAAGTGGTGCACCCCTGTAGTCCCAGCTACTCAAGAGGATGAGGTGGGAGGATCACCTTATCAAAAGGCTGAGGCTGCAGTGAGCTGAGATTGCGCCACTGCACTCTAGCCTGGGAAATAGAATGACACCTCGTCTCAAAAAAAAAATTACAATTACACTTGAGCATTGAGAGTAATTTTTACATTTATTTAGCCCCATGGCTGTAGAGTCCCTGCCCGTGTGTGGTGTGTGTGTGTGTGTGTGTGTGTGTGTGGTGTGTCTCTTGAGCACTGAGAGTAATTTTTACATTTATTTAGTCCTGTGGCTGTAGAGTCCCTCCCCGTGTGTGTGTGTGTGTGTGGTGTGTGTGTGTGTCTTGAGCATTGAGAGTAATTTTTAAATTTATTTTGGCCCCATGGCTGCAGAATCCCTGCTCGTGTGTGTGTGTGTGTGTGTGTGTGTGTGTGTGTGCGCGCTTAGCCACATTATGTGCTTAGCTCTGCAGCCACCTTGGCAGCGCTGTTTCTCTTCGACTCAGTTCCATCCTCTTGACTTCTCAGGTCCCTCGGGCTCTCCCCACTCCCTCCTATCACAGGGTCTTTCTTCTACCTGGAATCCTTTTCCTTATCCTGCTTGCCTAGTTAACTCCTGCTTATTTTTTAGGTTTTGGTTCAGAGGTCTCATTTGCGTGGAGATCATCCCTGACCTCCTGCTGGGCCCAAGTCAGATGCCCTGTGTGTGCCCGCTTGGCACTACTCATGGTTTTGATTTTCTATTTATTTAAGTGTGTTTTTGCGTGATGTCTGCTTCTCCCACCTAGCCTAGCTCTGTAGAGTAGAAACCAGGCCTGCTGGTCTGAGTCACTCTGTGTCCCCCGTCTCAGCACAGTACCTGGCACAAAAGACATCCTTAGTGTCTGTGGAATGAACAAATGCGTGAATGATACATCATGATTTACGTCTTGCATTTAACTCCAATGGATCAAAAATGGCGGGACCTCTCCCATGGAAGAGCTCGCCCTCTCTGTGGGCTCCCCTTCTCAGGTTATCTCAAACTAAAGACCTACTTCAGATGCAGAGTATTGAACTCTGTGTACCTGTGGCATTGCATACCTGTAGAATATGATAGTCAATTTTGCACAGATCTAAATGACTAAAAATTCCTTTCCAGAAGTTTCCTCCCAAGTATAATTTACATATTGTGAGCAGCACAGAGTTAAAAAACAATTTTATATTTCGGTTCTGGTCCCAGCTGGCAACATTTTGTTGCATAACTCTGGCTCCAAGTTTCCAGCAACTGGGAGAAAGTTTTGAAATAGTAAACAGGAAAGCAGAATAGACAGAGGGTGCCTTTGACTCTCCCAAAGGAAGACAGATTCCAAGTAGAACTGGTAGAAAAAAATGTTCCCAACATAAAACTCAGAGATTTCACCAGAATATTCAGCACATTGGCTGGAAGAGCCCATTGATACAGTAATCTGGGCACAGCCTGCCATGACCGTTCAATCAAGCTCCTTAGAGTGGCCTTGGGCTAGTAAGGCTAGAACAGCCTGGAGGGGAGAGGAAGCAGCCACTTAGGAGAAAGTAATCAGCAAAATCACTGCCCTCCCAAACTCTCCATCCTGACTGTACGGATGAATCACTTAAGGAGCATTTAGAAATTAGCAATAGTCAGGGCCCCACTGCAGACCAACTGAATCCTGTCTCTGGATATTGGAACCCAGGCATGGGCACTTTTTAAAACTCCCAGGCAATTCCAATGGTGCATCTAGGACTGAGAACACTCTCCAGGGCCCTGAGCCCAGGCTTCCTGGTTAACATTTCTTACCTTCTACACTTCTGTCCCTGGGGGAAAGTTCTCTCTGCTTTAGATCTTGCTATTATCCTACTGTCATTAAAACAAACAGTACAATGTGCCCTTTCAACATCTCAGAAGGATTCTCCAGTCTCTAGGGATACTGTCTTTCTACCATCTCATTTCTCCAGTCTCAACACTTGCTCTCACCTTGTTCCTCAGAGCGGTCCATAGAGCAGCACCAGCAGCATTACCCGGGAGCTTGTTAGAAATGCAGATTCACGGGCCTTGCCCCAGACCCCATCCTCTATCCAACAAGATCCCCAGGGTTCATGTGCACAGGAGCATCTGGGTAGCACGTATGCTCTGGAGAATGCCCCAGCCCTTGAAATTCTGGGCCATTTCCCAGGATTCTCCTGACCTTTCTGTCTCTTTTCACACTGTCTCTAGTTAGAATCATGTGTTTCAGAATCACGGAATACTACAGATCATCTGTATTATAGAGATGAATCAATCCAATCCCTGCATTTAACGGATCCATGAGTTGACTTAGGTTGAATCTACCCACTTGGGCCAGGTGCAGTGGCTCACACCTGTAATCCCATCACTTTGGGAGGCCAAGGCAGGAGGACTGCTTGAGCTCAGAAGTTCAAGATCAGACTGGGCAACATAGCAAGACCTCAACTCTACTAAAAAAAAAAAAATGCCAGGTGCAGTGGTACACACCTGTAGTCTCAGCTACTCAAGAGGCTGAAGTGAGAGAATCACTTAAGCCTCAGAGCTCAAGGCTCCAGTGAGCTATGACCAGGACACTGCACTCCAGTTTGGATGACAGAGCAAGATCCTATCTTGATAAATAAATAAATAAATATATAAATATCTACTCACTTGATGAAGAGGAAGGTCCAGAACTTCTACAAGCTTAGTTATCACAACTCATTTACTTTGGGAATTCCTAATGTACGTTTCAAGCTGCAAGTAGCTCTGTGGATGACCACTGACTATTTTTAAATACTGAAAGCCCCATACATATTTTAACAGACATACACTCAGAGCCCAGTTTATAATCTCAGAACGCCTAGCACTCCTAAGTGTATAATAGGGCTATTCAGTTATAAGTAGCTCTGACATTCCTATAATGAGTGCACCAGAATGTGAACAATGTTAAGAGTCAACCACTGCACACATTCATGTGTGCTCAGCTAGAGCTCAGCCCTGATTTTGACAGCAGGGCCACAGCTTAGATGTCTATGCTTGGTTCCTGGTATAATCTTGGAACTCCACTTCTCTTTCCAGTTGATTGAAATACACCAATGAGCTCTAGCATCATGGTTGAGAACTACTGCTATGAGACCCACAAGCACTACATGTTCCAGGGCTAGATCACTCTAAGACAGTAGTGTGTCTGGAATTTATTCCTTCTGGTGGGTTCTTGGTCTCGCTGATTTCAAGAATGAAGCCACGGACCCTCACAGTGAGTGTTACAGTTCTTAAAGATGGTGTGTCCAGAGTTTGTTCAGATGTTCAGATGTGTCCGCAGTTTCGTCCTTCCAGTGGGTTCGTGGTCTCGCTGACTTTAGGAGTGAAGCTGCAGACCTTCACCATGAGTGTTACGGCCCTTAAAGGTAGTGCGGAGTTATTTGTTCCTCCCGGTGGGTTCGTGGTCTTGCTGACTTCAGGAATGAAGCCGCAAACCTTCACAGTGAGTGTTACAGCTCATAAAGGTAGTGTGAACCCAGAGTGAGCAGCAGCAAGATTTATTGTGAAGAGTGAGAGAACAAAGCTTCCACAGCGTGGAAGGGGACCCGAGCAGGTTGCCGCTGCTAGCTCGGGTGGCCAGCTTTTATTCCCTTATTTGGCCCTGCCCACGTCCTGCTGATTGGTCCATTTTACAGAGCACTGATTGGTCCATTTTACAGAGCGCAGATTGGTCCATTTTTACAGAGTGCTGATCGGTGCGTTTACAAACCTTTAGTTAGACACAGAGCGCAGATTGGTGTGTTTTTACAAAGTGCTGATTGGTGCATTTACAAACCTTTAGCTAGACACAGAGCGCTGATTGGTGCATTTACAAACCTTTAGCTAGACAGAAAAGTTCTCCAAGTCCCCACCTGACCCAGAAGCTCAGCTGGCTTCACCTCTTAATCCCCCCTCTAAACAGGACACCCCAACTGCTGCTGGGAATTGGGTGATGACCACTCTAGCTACTTCCCGCTGGATAGGGGCAAAGAAGGGGCCCTGAAGTTGTAGTGTCCTCCAGAGGGGAACTCTTTAGGCTAATGAAAGGGCCAGTGGGTCGGTCCAGGGGTCCTTGATAGAAGTTGTTAGTTGAGCTCATTTGGGGTTCCATTTGTAAGACCATCTGTAGCCTGATGGCCTTGATTCTAGAGGAAACAAATTTGACAAGGAGGTTAAAAATACAGGGCCCGAAGGCAAGTAATAGCAAGATGGCTGCCATGGGACCTAGAAAGGGGAGAAGCCATATTGCCCAACTCCAGAGGTTGGTATAAGAGTTTGAAAGGCATTGTCTGATATCAGAAGCTTTTTCCTGTAAATGCTGCGTGGCATCTCGTACTATCCCTGACTGGTTAGTGTAAAAGCAACACTCTTTCCCAAAGAAGGTGCAAAGTCCTCCTTTCTCAGCAGTGAGGAGGGTCTAGGCCTCAGCAGTTTTGGAGAGTCACTGCTGCCGAAGAGTCTATTTGGGATTGTAGTTACTATCCTTACTGGACAGATTTTGTTATTTCTTGCAAACTGTCTGAGAAATGCTTTGAGAGTGTGTGGTAGTAGGATAATGCATGTTACACTGTTAACTTTTAGCAAACTCTACGTTAGTAGAAAACCTTGTAAGTTTGGGATTTTAATTTTTCTTTGCTATTAATAAAACCTCATTCCATCCATATTAACTTAGAATTGGTATAGATGGCTCCTTCCTGATTCTGTAAGTACTTTAAGATTTGGCTGAGTGAAAACAACTTGCACATTTGAGCAGACCAATTATTGGGCAATTTTCCTAACTCTGCTTCCATAAGAGTTTCCTGAATACCCATTGTGTCTTTTTCCTTAATCACCTGGGAGGAACCATCTATATCCTGTCCTGAAGGGAGCTCCTCCTATGTCTGGTGGGACCTTTGTATGGTAATTAAGATTTAGATCCCCTGTTAGGAAACTTGCTGGGTTAAGGATGTTTGATAGGAATGCTATGGGTTGTCAGTGGCCTCAGTGCTTTCAGGTTATGCCCTTGTTTACACTGACAACAAGGTGGTATTGGAGTGTTACAGAGTTACAGAGAAGACCTTCAATTATCTATTATAGGTTTTAAATTTACCCTGGCTTTTAAAGGAATAGGGTACACTGTTTTTTCTTTACTACTTCTATCCCTTTCTCTCTCTTTGACTCCTTTGTCTCTTCCTCTCTTTCCTTCTCTGACTTTGTCTGTCTCTTCCTCTCTCTCTCTCTGACTTTCTCTCTGTCTCTTCCTGTCTCCTTCTTTTGACTTCCTATCTTTCTCTTTCTCTCTCTGTCTCTCTGTCTCTTCTTCTCTCTCACTCTCTGACTTTCTATCTCTCTGTCTCCTTCTCTTTCTTTCTCTTTCTCTCTGACTCCCTCTTTGTCTCTCTCTTCCTCTCTCTGTCTCTCTGTCTGACTTTCTGTCTCTTTCTTTCCTTTCTGCTGGTCTTTCCCTGCCTCTGCCAGCCACTTATGCTGCTGTTCTCCTCTCTCCTTCCCCTTTTTGATGGCTTCAGCAGTGTAAGACTGCCACCTCCTTGGGTTTTGGCACTGAGTGCAATAACTCCATGATTTCCTTGTGGTATTTAATAGGGGATCCCCCAGAGGTTAGGAACTCCCTTTCTTTCCATATTGCAGCACGGGCATGTAGGATTAGATAAGCATACTTGCTATCTGTATACACATTTATTCTTTTTCCCTTTCCCAGTTCTAAGGCTCGAGTAAGTGCCACTAGTTCTGCTAACTAGTTGCTGGTCCCTGGGGGAAGAGGCTTACTTCAGTATGGTTACATCACTAACTATGGCACAACCTGCCTTTTGTATCCCATTTTCCACAAATGAACTTTCATCAGTATATAGGTTAAGGTCAGGATTAGCTAAGGGGACTTGTAAAAGATCATCTCAGGCTGCATAAATCTGGACTATAATTTGTTGGCAGTCATGCTCAATTGGTTCCCCATCCTCTGGGAGAAAAGTGGCAGGGTTGAGGGCCGTGCATGTACGTATCTGAAGCACTGGTCCCTCAAGGAGTAGCACCTGGTATCTAAGTAGGCGGTTGTCTGATAGCCATAAACTTCCTTTGGCACCTAGTATGCCATTTACATCATGAGTAGTCCAGACAGTGAGATCCTTTCCTTGTATTATTTTGATAGCCTCTGACTATTGCTACTATATCAATTTTCTTACTTAGGTATGCCACTGGTTGTGGGGTTGTCCCATGAGTCTAAGGACCCCAAGAGCTATTCCTGCTCTCTCTGTGATGTATAAAGAAAAGTTTTGTCCTGTGGGAAAGCTTAAAGCTGGAGCTTTTACTAGGGTCTGCTTTAAGGTTTTGAAGGCTGTTTCTGCCCCTGGTTCCCATTCTACTAGATGAGTATTTGCCCTCTGGGTCTCCTTGATTAGAGTATAGAGGGGCCTGGCTATCTCCTTGTATCTGGGGATCCACAGTCAGCAAAAGCCGATGATTCCAAGGAACCCCCACAACTGTTTTAATGTCTTAGGGTGAGCATAATCCAGTGTAGGCTGCTTTCGTTCCTTGCTGAGGGCCCTGGTCCCTCTGGCTAAGATTAGGCCTAGATATTTGGCCTGCTGTAGGCAAAGCTGGGTCTTCGACCTAGATGCCTTGTACCCTTGATTAGCTAGAAATTTCAAGAGATCTAGAGTCGCCTGCTGGGATGAGGCTTCCAAACAGGTAGCCAAAAGTAAATCATCCACATATTGAAGGACCAGAGTGCCTGGACTTGAGAAGTTACCTAGATCTTGGGCCAGTGCCTGAGCAAACAGATGAAGGCTATCCCTAAACCCTTGGGGCACAACTATCCATGTAAGTTGGGACGTGTGGTCTGTGGTATCCTCAAAGGCAAAGAGAAACTGGGAGTCAGAGTGCAGGAGAATACAGAAGAAGGCATCCTTGAGGTCCAGAACAGCAAACCAATCTGCCTCCCTTGGCATTTGAGAGAGCAGGGTACAGGGGTTCAGTACAACTGGACATAGAGGAACCACCACCTCATTGATGAGTCCAAGATCCTGCACTAGTCTCCAATGACCTTTTGATTATTGTACTCCTAGAATTGGGGTGTTGCAGGGACTGCTGCATTTCCTTACTAAGCCTTGAGCTTTTAAATGTTTAACAATATCCTGTAATCCTTTATGAGCTTCAGGCCTTGAGGGATATTGCCTTTGATAAGGAAAAGTGGTGGGGTCTTTTAGCCTGATTTGGACTGGGTGGGCATTTTTTACCCTTCCAAATTGTCCTTCCAGTGTCCAGACTCCAGGGTTGATTCCCTCCTCAAGTAGGGGAAAACAAATGGGTAAATTGTTCCCCATATTCATGTAGATAATAGCTCCAGCTTTGGCTAATATATTCCTCCCTAATAAGGGTGTGGGACTTTCAGGCATAACAAGAAGGCATGTGAAAAGAGCAAAGTCTCCCAATTACAACTGAGGAGGTAGGAGAAATACCTGGTTACAGGATGTCCCAGGATTCCTTGGATGGTAAAACCTTGAGGACAGTCATCCAGGACAAGAGATTAACACTGAGAAGGCCATGCCAGTGTCCAGGAGGAAGTCAATTTCCTGGCCCTCAATGGTTAAATGTAACCGGGGCTCAATAAGGGTCATAACATGAGCTGGCACTTGCCCTGGGCACCCTCAGTCCTGTTGTTGGATCATCTGGTTGGGGACTTCTTGCCCAGAGAACCACTGCACTCAGGGGCAGTGCACCTTCCAGTGATTGCCTCAGCATAGTGGACATGGACGAGGGGGCGGCTTGTTTCTCACTGGACAATCTTTTTTAAAGTGTCCTTGTAAACCACACTGATAACAAGCCCTCCCAGGTGATTGGCCTGCTCCATTTTTTGTCCTTTCTGAACCACCAAGGTTTGTTTGTCTGAGGACCATGACTAAGGCTGTGGCCTTTCTCTGATCTCACTTTTCCTTTTGGGTCTGTTCCTCTTGATCCCTATTATAGAACACCGAGGTTACCAGGTTTAATAATGCCTCCAGATTTTGTTCAGGACCCAGGGCTCGCTTCTGGAGCCCTCTCCTGATATCTGCAGCTGATTGGGTAATAAACTTATCTTTTAGGATCAATTGACCCTCGAGTGAGTCAGGTGACAGGGGAGTATATTTTCTTAAGGCCTCCCATAGCCACTTGAGGAAGGCAGAAGGATTTTCTTCCTTTCCCTGAGTTATGGTGGACATCATTGAATAATTCATGGGCTTTTTCCTAATTCTCCTTAGTCCTTCTAGAGCACAGGTCATTGGATGTTTACAACTCCAGTCCCCATAATCTGAGTCGAGGTCCCAGTGGGGATCCATACTGGGGAAGGCTTTTTGACCAGTAGAGAATTTGTCCCTTTCTTCAGCTGTCATCCTATCATTTACTTCACTAAGACACCAGGTATCTCCAAACTCTTGGGCTGCAGCTAAAGCCACATTCTTTTCATTAAAGGCCAGGGTTTGATCTAACAATAGCAAGATATCTCTTCAAGTGAGATCAAAGGTTTGCCCTAGACCCTGTAGGACATCTATGTACCTATCAGGATCATCTGAAAACTTCCCCAGGTCTGCGTTGATCTGCTTTAAATCAGAGAGGGAGAAGGGGACATGTACCTGGGTTGGGCCAAATTCTCCTTCCCCTACAGCTTGAAGGGTACATAACCAATATCCCGGGGGTTTTTGTGGTCCCTTGGAGATTTCTTTGCTTATTTCCTTCTGGGTGGGGGAGATTAGAGGAGGCTTATCATTAATAGGGAGCGGAGCTATAGGGAGGCTAGGATATGGGGGTAAGCTGAAAGGTCCTCCTGTGGGATGTAAATTGCAAGCTTTGCATAGTTGTGTATTCACCTTCAATGAAAAGAAAGCTTGGACATAAGGTATTTCACTCCATTTGCCTTCCCTCTTACAGAAAAGGCCAAGCTGCAGGATAGTATTGTAATTTATACTTCCCTCAGGTGGCCATTTATCCCCATCAGAGAGAGAATATTGGGGCCAGGCCATAGTGCAGAAAAAAATGAGCCACCTCTTTTTCAGGGTTTGCGGGTCAAATTGGTCCCAATGGCTTAGGACACATTTCAAGGGTGAGCCTGTTGATGCCTGAGTGTTTCCCATCTGAAAGACAAAACTGCCCGTGCTTTTGGTTTGTTTTGTTTCTCCCTCTGCCCAAGAACCCGCAACAGTCCCTGGACCCTGCTGATCAGAATAGTTGCACTCACCAACGCAGCAGCAGAAACACTAGTTTTCCTCCTAGACCACAAGGAGGACTGAGGAAGGTCAGATTTAGTGGCCCTTATCAATGTATTCTCCAAAACCTGCACCCTTGCCTGTCCTCCTAGACCACAAGGAGGACCAAGAAAAATTGGATTTAGTGGCCCTTACTGACACATTCTTGAAAACCTGTTAGAGTCCTAAGCATTCTCTTGTTAGTACTGGGACCTTACCCGCATCGTATAAAGGTGTTATGCCCCAAAAATGAAGCAGAGGGCCATATCCTGAGGAAGGGAAGGGATCTCCAGAGTTGGAAGAGTGATGCCTTTTGTCCTCACTTATATGAATAGGAAGGATACAATTTCTGATGCTACCCATATCCTAGCTTCAGGAATAGCTATTGATAGGCCTGCTTGTCTGAGGAGGGATCCTAAAATTCCAGATAGTACCCCCTACAATGGGGCTTTGGGCAAAGATTATGTCTTTCTGATTGGTGAACCCAGGTGCCTAAAGAAGGTAACAGAGTCCTGGAGTTTATATTAGAAATCATTCTTACAGGAGAACCTAGAAAAGCAACAGAGACAGGGAGTGGTTTTTAGAAGCGGGACTAGCCTCAGAGAAGAGAGGCGAGAGGAAATTTGTCTGACAGGCATTAGGACCCAGGAGGCAAGGGTCAGGATAGATAGGATAGATGGGCAAGTCTTGCTTGGGTGACATGACTTTGAGAGTTTTACTCATGGCTGCAGGGCCAACCAACTTGTTGTTGGGACCCCAGAGCTGAATGGCTTTCCTCTCTGTCAACCCTCAGCTCAGCCCAGAAGTACAGGAAAAGCGGAAGCTGGTTCCAGGCCAACCAACGCTCCCAACTCCGAAGAGTTGGGGGTTGTTAGAGAGCCGTTTCCCAGAAAGCCTGACACCCGTGTCTTTAGTCTGGCGGCCATGCTAGTCACTTTTAACTGGCCAAGAGGTGCCCGGTATATAGCCCCCAAATTCTAAGGAAAAATAGGACAGAATAGCAAGCGAAAGGGGTCCAGTGGTACTCACCGCTTGGTGATTGTCCCATCTGGGTCACCAAAATGTGTCCGGAATTTATTCCTTCCAGTGGGTTCTTGGTCTCGCTGACTTCAAGAATGAAGCTGCGGACCCTCGTGGTGAGTGTTATAGTTCTTAAAGATGGTGTGTCCGGATTTTGTTTGTTCAGATGTTCAGATGCGTCCACAGTTTTTTCCTTCCGGTGGGTTCATGGTCTCGCTGACTTCAGGAATGAAGCCGCAGACCTTCGCAGTGAGTGCTACAGCTCATTAAGGTAGTGTGGACCCAAAGAGTGAGCAGCAGCAAGATTCATTGTGAAGAGTGAAAGAACAAAGCTTCCACAGTGTGGAAGGGGACCCGAGTGGGTTGCCGCTGCTGGCTAGGGTGGCCAGCTTTTATTCCCTTATTTGGCCCTGCCCACGTCCTGCTGATTGGTCCATTTTACAGAGCACTGATTGGTCCATTTTACAGAGCACTGATTCATACATTTTACAGAGCACTGATTGGTCCGTTTTTACAGACCGCTGATTGGTACATTTACAAACCTTTAGCTAGACACAGAGCGCTGATTGGTGGGTTTTTACAGAGTGCTGATTGGTGCATTTACAAACCTTTAGCTAGACACAGAGCGCTGATTGGTGCATTTACAAACCTTTAGCTAGACAGAAAAGTTCTCCAAGTCCCCACCTGACCCAGAAGCTCAGCCGGCTTCACCTCTCAGTAGTTTCCAAACTTTAATCACCAGGGAGACCAGTTAAGACACAGATTACTGGGCTCCACTTCAAAGTTTGTGATTCTGTAGGCCTGGGATGGGGCCCAAGAATTTGAATTTCTAACAGGTTCCAGGTAATGCTGACGCTGCTCTCTAGGGACCACATTTTGGGAACCACTGCTCTGGGGCTCTCCACTTGCAGATTGGCCCACCTGAGATTTGAAGACATTTCAGATCTCTTGTTAAAGAAGACCTTTCATCTTCAGAGGAATGATGATCCCTACCTGCTTCCTGAACCACCAATTCGTAGGTGGGATCCAGATGTGCCCCTTCCTGTTTGACAAGTACAACACATGCCCCTGGCTTTGTGCATCGCAGCTCAAATTCTCCTCCTCTCAGGCCAACCCTACCCCTTCCTTTTCCCCATCCCTGTCTGACTTTCATTCTTTCTAGTCTATCCCTACCCTTTCTCTGCTTAACGTCAAGGTGAGCCTTAAGTCTCATTCTATTCCATTGCACCTGAGATACTCCCACCCCAACTTGCAGTTAGCTTGCTATACCCAGGTTCAACTCTTCATCCCTAGAAACTTCATTCTGCTTCTTTCTTTATCTAAGGCAATTTATTACTACACCTACAATTAACCAAATTCTTTCCACTTTGATGTCACTTCCTCTCTTAATCCTAACAGACTTAACTCTCCAAGTTCCACCAATATCTAAGTATATTTCTTAAACCCTTGCATGAGATTACTACCTGGGTTCCATTATTTGTTCATGGTATTGTTTCTAAGTTTGGAACTGAAAAAGAAAAAATTCTTGGCCAAATAGCAACTGCAAATACAACTGAGATCAGCACCTGGCTTACCGTAAACAAACCACTGCATCTGAAATCCTTTCTCACGGCGGCCAACCCCATCTGTAAGGAGCAGCACTTGAAGCTTGGAGCTTGTAGTACTCCCTGGAGGGGGCAGGTCTACTCCACAGTAGCGTCCCATCTGCCGTGGTCCATCATAGAGCTGAAATTGAAGAGAAACTTTCCCATATAAAAACACATGGTTTGTGGGATGGAAAAATCCAAGTCTACACAAGTAGCAAAAGCTGTTCCTTGGTTCAAAAGTTAGAGGTAAATCTGCTGAGGTGGGTTGAGTACACAGAACTCAACATAAGAATTAAAAATTGATAATTGCATAGAGAGGGTATTAGAGATGGATCTGATTCCTAAGCCCAATAAATTTGGAAACCCAACTAGTAACTTTTGGTTTTATGTCAACCTAGCAAGTCCAAAGTATAATTCAGGCTCAGAATACGGAAATAGTAGGCATTCACATATTAACAACACATAGGGGGGCTCAATGAATAGCAGCTATTATAATTGTAAGATATAATTTAAAAATATTTTTAAATGTTTATGGGTACATAGTAGGTGTATATATTTATAGGGTACATGAGATACTTTGACACAGGCATGCAATGTATAATAATCACATCATAGAAAATGGGGTAGCCATCCCTTCAAGAGGTAATTTTTAAAATAAATGCTACCTGTAAAATAATCAGACATTTTAGAAATATATGAAAAAGGAAAATACAAATATTGATTCGACTAAAGACAAACACTGTTAATATTTCATTAAATCCAAAAATTTCTCTTGATACTTTTTTCATTTGTATATATGTGTAATATACCTATTTGTGCAGGTGTATATATGTGTTTATACATTTGAGCTATGTATTTAATTGTGTTTCTTGTTTTTCATTGAACATATCACTTAATTGTGTAAACCTTGGTGTAAAATGCCACAAATATAATGTATTTATATTATAATTCTATTGTTGTTTCATTTAAGATATTTCCAATCTTTTGCTGATATAAATAGCTGTTTGATACTTCAAATGTTTCTTTTAAAAGATTCCTAGAAAGGGAATAACAAACAGTATAATCATATGGCTCTTTATAAAATATTATTAAATTTCTTACCAGAAAGTTTATACCAACCTATCCTCCCACAAGCAGTTAACAGAGGTGTTTCTTTCAGTGGAGCTTTGTCAATTATGATGACGATCATGTTTTAAACTAGTACTGACAGTGAAAAACTGCCTTTTTGTAATTGTCTTAACTTGTGTTATTTTAATTACTTTGACATTGAAGGATTTTTTTTTTCATGTTTAGGGGCATTTAGATTTCTTCTCTTGTAAATTGTTTACTGATGTCTTCGTCCATTTTTCCATTGAGGTATTTATACATCTTCAAGGAGAAATGGAGGGTGCAAGGTTGTGTCCCCTTAACCTACCTCATTTAATGATTTTATCAGCTGTATATCTCCAAACTGAAAAATAAAAATTAAAAAACACAAAAATCTCTCTACTATATCTCTTCACTTGAGAAAGATAATGGCAATCCAACAAGACTGGCTTCCTCAGGACTAAGGCCATTACATTTTCACCTAATCGCCTTCATGTTCCCTTTAAACACTTTGTTCCAGTTACCCTTGGGATAAGCTGCCCATGACAACGAAACATAAAATACCTGGTAATGGACTCATGGATTTCCTCGAGGATGCCCTTGGAGAGTACATCTACTTAAGAGTATGTGTGAGTGTCTGTGTGTTTGCACGTGTCCGTGCATAAATGTATAATCTGGATTCAATGAATTCCAGACTGATCAAATTATTTTCATTGAAAAAAAATGTTATGACATGAAATATTGTTTGAAACATATTGATTTGAGTGTGGAGAACTTTACCACCAAATGTTACAAAGCACCTCCATGGAGCCGCCCCTAATCCCTGCAGTCAGGCATAAATTAGTCTGCCTTTGAAAGCCCTTGCTTTTCATCTGTGCTTCTTTTGTGGAAATGATCACATCCCCAGGCATTCTTGTTATGGGCTTGTGTGTCTTACCTCCCCTACTGATTGTGAGTCGCCTTAAAGCACAGACCACCTCTGGCCTTCCCCTCACTGCCCAGAGCAGGGCTTTGATAAAGGCAGGTTCCCCATGCATCTCCAATGAATGAACGCAGTGATTTCCCCCGCCAGCTGTATTTATTTTACTTAGGACCCAATCTGCACGATTATTTGCACTCTGTACAGTTAGATAGGTAGTAGTGCCATACAATCCTCAATTTCAACAGGCTCCTCTTAGACCATAAAGGATTTGGACCCTTTGTGCCACTCCGTAGAAGGGAGAACCAGGTGAGGGCCTTGTTTAAGGTTATGATAAATCGCAGATTTTTAAACCTTGGCCTGTCTCGCTGAGTTCTCAAATCGGCTGCTCATCATAAGTGCTTGTGAGATTTCAGGGAAGGTCAGCAGATATTTTTAAAAAGACAAGCTCAGAAGCCTATTATGTCATTCACCCCAAAGCACTAAACCTAAGCATTTTAAGCAAATGAATAAAGATGAGTTTTATTTTTCAGGCTTACTGCTGTAGCTTCCTTTTTTTCTGTTTTTCGTACTGCTGCTTTGAATGTGTATATTTATTATCAAGTTTCTAATATTCTACACATTTATCAGAAGCCTCCCCTATAATGAATAGGGGAGAATAAGAGAAGAATAAAGCAACAGAAAATGAAGAGGGAAACGAAACGGAACAGAAGCTTTTCACCTTAGCGTTCAGTCCCACCCTCTCCTGCAGGCGGAGAAACCGGAGGGCGAGAGGCCAACCTTGCAGCCTGTGCTTCTAAATCCCTGCTTCCCTGCAGGAGATTCATCTCAGCTTTAGAGTTTTTCTTAATTCTAGGGCATGAAGTACAGTTCTAAACTAATTAGCACAGAAACAAACATACTGCTCCCAAGTAGTGGAGTAATTAGCAAGCAAATGCTCTACCATCTTTCACTCCCCAAATCTTAACCTTTGGATTGTAATTTAGTGACCAAAGCATAAATTATTTCATTTCTGTCAGGCCTCTGAGCCCAGGCTAAGTCATCATAACCCTTATCCAACAAAACATAGGTAAGATTTCTCCATAACTATAATCACCCTAAGCTCGATGTGTCTTACGGAATACTAGGTCGCAGCATGTTGCGGAATTATATTTCAATCCTGCACAAGGTCATGAACAGCATAGCATTTTTGCCTGTCAGCTCTGCAAGATTAAGAAATGTGGCATTTTCACGTGACTTAAAGAGATTTCTTTTTTTTCCTTCCTTCTGGATGGGATTACGCATTGAAGGAGACCCCTGGATCTCAGCTGTTCAGTGGTCTTTAATAACACATTGTAAAAGTACTGGGTGGGGGTGGAGGGGCTAGGCAGTAGGTTTGGGGGGCAACACTGATGAATGACAATTAGTTTCTTTTTGCCTTTGGGGGGAGAAAATTATGCATTAAAATAAGCATCAAATAGACATTTATGAAAATGCTTAAATATAATGTCCAATCTAGTAATAAATGTGTAGAACAATGTCTCGAAAAGGAAAAAAAAAAAAACTCATACCTCGTTTTTTAAAGTTTGCCGTTAATAAAATCAGGTTTTTTGTTTATATTCACACAGATGGGTAACGTCACCTCTACAATTCATTCCCGCGCAAATTGACCACCCAAAACCACACAAAAAGGAACAGTCATTTTTCAAAGTATACAAATACAGGTTACCATGGAAAGCCGTCTCACTGATTCTGATTCTGTTTTCAGAGCAGAATGTTAACCACAGGACGTTCCAGCTGTGACTCATTGCAACTACTGACAAGCAAGCTGGAGTGGCCCTGCTTTTAGAGAGCCTGAAGATCTACTCAGAGTGAACAATACTTGAAGTTCTAATTGAGTTACAGAAAGGAAACTAGTAAAAACTAAGAAAGATTGCGATTCTCACCTTGAATATGCAGATCTAATTTCTATAACTGTGTTTAGGGGTATTTTTCTAAATTACTAAAATAATGCTTACATTTTCAAATTGGCCATTAAATATATCTTCAGATGCGGAGATGTGTATATTACAAAACCTTCCTCTGTGAAATCTTTTGTTATTCTCTTAAAGAGATTATTCATTTAGGATTTTCGTGGCTTAGGTCCCCCCACCCCCACCCTACCCCCAAATATCTCAACTCCTCTTGACACACTCAGAGAGGAAGGAAATCTCTTGCCTTAGCCATACTTACCAGTTTCTACTTCCTTTGTGCGGGTTTGATAATTTGGCACATACTTTACAATACCATTAGTGAATTCAGACTCCAGTTGCAATAGGAAGTGATCCGTGGACTTCTAAATAGGAAGGACCCATAACAAAGGGGAGGATATAACACTAAAGACACCACGTGTGGTCAATCACTGATAGAGATCCAATTTTTTTGTAAGATTGAGGGTACTTAGGAGTCACTGAAAGTCAAGTTCTAAGTGAGCAGAGACCCAGACACCCCACCTGTCCCCTCAGTAGAAATCAACTTTATGAACTGCAGGATCTCCAAGAACAAAAATATGTCTTTCAAGTGCCTTGCTTGCTAAATTGTTTCATGGCTAAAAATTTAAAACTGTAATAAATTAAAATTACAAGTAATTATCTTATATATATGAGCTTGGGATGTAGAGATTAACTTTTTTTCTTAACTATTTTTTTGTTTGTTTGAGACAGGATCTTGCTCTGTTGCACAGGCTGGAGTGCAGTGGTGCAATAAGGTTAACTGTAGCCTCACCCTCCCAGGCTCAAGCAATCCTCCTGCCTAAGCCTCCTGATGGCTGAAACTACAGGCATGCAGTACCATGCCCAGCTACTTTTTTTGTATTTTTTGTAGAGACAGAGTTTCGCCATGTTGCCCAGGCTGGTCTCGAACTCCTGGGCTCAAGCAATCTGCCCACCTCGGCTTCCCAAAGAGCTGAGATTACAAGTGCGAGCCACCATGCCCAGCCCCAAACTCATTTTAGAATCACAGTGAGTGACAATTAAAACTCAGCCCTTTCTGTTTTAGATTGACATCTAATTCATACTGTTTGTAAATGTTGTTTCTTTTATTTCCTGGAAGGTCTTCTGGAAGAAAATTCTTTTTTATAGGAGATCAATTTTAAGAATTAATTAAATATAGTTCATGTAGAAAAAGCAACTCAAGAGTTTCTTTAGGATGATATCATTAAAACATGGAGAAACTTCTGGAGAATAATTTGGTCCATTTCCAATTATAAATCTTTGCAAATTCCATAAAACCTCTATTCTTTAGAGCTTAATATGTAATTGAAATAATTCATCTGCTGTGAGGAGAAATTTTGGGTGTAGTAGAGAATCCCCTATTCTTTCTATAGAATAAAAATTCTACTCAATGAAAAGATGATCGTTCAATTTTTGAGAACTATACTCAATCAGTTTATAGAGTGGCATTTTGAAGTGAGTGTCACTAATAGAAGATTATATTTCAATCACAAGCAGGAAAGCAATTTTATTGTAGAATGTACTTGACTAATGTCAATGTGGCCAGAGCCAGGCTCTGTGTTCATAGCCCAGCTCTAAAATTTAGAGAACACAATTTTGTGAAAATTATTGAACTTCTTCAAGCTAAAATGTCTTTATCTATAAATCTGGCACCATAATGGTACTTATCTCATAATATTGTTGCCAACAGCAAATGAGATAAACCACGTAAAAGGTTTGCTATGAGGCCTGGCATGTGGAATGTGCTCAAATTGTTACTCTAACTCTTTGTCAGAGGCAAAGGGAATCAACATTTTTTTCCAGAGAAACCACCCAAAATAGCTATGAGAAAAGAAAGATGTTGGGGATTAGAGAACAGGAGCTGACTCACATAAAAGAGTTCACAGAAATCGTCACTGGTAGGGCAGATGGGGAAGTGATGAATTCAGTGAGGAGGTGGAGGCCAATCCTCGCAGTGTGTTGCTATGACAACTTGGGCATTGTGGAGACTGAGGCATCCCGGACAGCCATGCAGAAACCAAGGCGAATCATCCTGTGTGGGGTGGAGATAAGCATGCTGTGTGTGTGGAAGGGATTGCGGGAGGACAGATCATGCAGGGGACAGCAGCAAAGAGAGTTAGGAAACCAGAGGCTGTTAAGGCTGCCACGGTGAGGTGGATAGAGTCCACTGGCAAGCAAAGTGGCTCTCATGCTAAAAGTGAGCAGCATCTCTTCCTGTTGCAGCCTCCCTTCCCCTTTGGGTCCTACCCAGCCCTGTAGTTCCTGCTGCTGAATCACTGGAGATCCAGAAGGATGGGACCTAGGGAATTCTCAGGGCATCTGCTCAGATGTTCCCCACCCCAAACAACCACCACAGCAGGATCTGTGGAGAGGCCTCATTAGGGTGATTGTTAAAAATGTTGTTGCTGAGGTTTGCACTCACATCTCCTGGAAAAACTTGGAACTTTATCCAAGTTCAGGTTACTTTAAATTTGAAGGGCTTTGAAATGTTCCTGTAACAACAGTAGAAATTGCAAAGCAAGAATCACAGAGGCTGGTTGTGGTGGCTCACGCCTGTAATCCCAGCCCTTAGGGAAGCCGAAGCGGGTGATCACTTGAGGCCAGGAGTTCAAGACCAGCCTGGGCAACATGGCAAAACCCTGTCTCTACTAAAAATATAAAAAATTAGCCGGGTGTGGTGGCGTACGCCTGTAGTCCCAGCTACTTGGAAGACTGAGGCAGGAGAATCACTTGAACCCCAGGAGGTGGAGCTTGCAGTGAGCCGAGATCGCACCACTGCACTCCAGCCTGGGAAACAGAGCAAGATTCTCTCAAAAAAAAAAATAAATAAATAAATAATAAGAATCACAGAGGAGATACAGCGCTTCCATTGTGGATAAGCAAAGCCCAAGGGGGCAAATGCAAAATCAAATCATGGTGGATAAATGAGGCAAATGTAGAGGAAGGCTGATAAGCAGAGCATGGTTGATCCCAGCCGACTCCAAGATGGCCCTTGGGAGGCTAAGTCCCCTCCATAAGGCACATGGCCACTCATAGCATGCTCCCTGACATAGGCACAGAAAAAGCCGCCTTGCCATGTGCTGACAGGGTGGGGCAGGAAATATGAAATATCATCTAAAAGTAACAATTACTCATAATGTTGGGCTTTGCATGAGAGCAAAAAACCCATCGAAATACCACATTTTGAGTTACTTGGTGTCACCCTGAGTTACAGGTCTGTCTCATATAAAAACCAGCGTTTCCTTTCTATGTGGTGGCTAGTTGCTGTCTGCTCTTACTAGAATTTACATTTTTATTCTGCTTTCTATATATTACTCCTATTAGAAGCCACAATTTGAGTCTTTTTATTTTTTAAATCATTGTCCAATCATGGGTGTGGGAAAACATTTAACTACAAAGATACTTATCTCAGAACTGTTTCTAATGGTGAAGATTTGAAAAGATTCTAAGTGTTTCACAACAGGAATTGGTGGCTGTATTGTGATGATGGGATGAGCAATGTTGAAAATGACATAATAAATAACATGGGGAAATAGTCACAAGCTATTGTTAGGTGAAAAAAGTCATTATGGGTTAGTATGTACTGAATAATCTCCTTCGAATATTAAAATAAAATAAATATACAAGGAGCGATGACAGGAAATCAATACCACCAAATATTAGTAATAATGATATACTTTAGGATTTTTTAATCTAGCTTTTTCTACATTTTCCCAATTTCCTATAATGACTATAAATTCCTTTGTGATCTGATAAATTTATTTTTAAAGCAATATCTTTGGGGACCTATTGACATGGCAGTAGAGATATGCATTAGTAATGCTTCTCCAATCTCAGAATTTCATACCCTTTTAGACTGTCAAATAAACACCTGGCCTACTAAAAATATTAAATTGTCTATCTCCATAATCTTTTCTTAAGTATCTCAAGGTTATATGTAAAAATTAATCCACTGAAATGTTACCATGTAAGGTAATCTGCTCCAGCATTAATTTAAAATCATATTTTGCCTATAATGCTTCCTTTTATCATAACTAGATTTTTATTATTAATTAGGCTAATTATTTACAAAAAATTATTTCTTTATTCCCATGATGTGACTATCACACATTGCACGCCTGTATCAAAACACACCATGTACCCCATAATATATACACCTATTAATTACCCACAAAAATTAAAAATTTTAAAAATAATAATGTCTTCAGATGTTCAGGGACTGACGGTTTCATGTAAACATATGTTTCGATAGTCACTGATGGAGCAAGGGCTCCTAAATCCCTCCCTAGTGGTAAGTGAAATGCTTTGAAAGCTAAGCATACTCTCCTGTGTATACATGAAAATTTAATTCCATAAACCTCAGCCTTCCCTCTGCCAATTATCCTGCTACAGTAAAACACTAAACATTTATTATTATTATTATTATTATTATTATTATTATTATGCCTCTTAAAATTCTCACCACCTGCTGCAGATGGTCTCAGGAACAGAGAAGAACCTGGTTCATAGAACAACGTGAAATCATAGACCTTTGAGCTGGAAGAAGCCAGAGGACTGCCATCCGGGCTCTCCCTGAAGACAGTGAGATCAGGAAAAGAAAGTCTATTAAATAAAGAGCCTGCCGGGTGCGATGGTTCACGCCTGTAATCCCAGCACTTTGGGAGGCCGAAGTGGGTGGATCACGTGAGGCCAGGAGCCCGAGACCACACTGGCCATCAAGGCGAAACCCTGTCTCTACTAAAAATACAAAAATTCGCCAGGCGTGGTGGTGGGCGCATGTAATCCCAGCTACTCAGGAGGCTGAGGGAGGAGAATGACTTGAATCTGGGAGGCGGAGGTTGCAGTGAACTGAGAATGCAACACTGCACTCAAGCCTGGGCAACAGAGTGAGACTCTGTCTCAAAAAAAAAAAGAAAGAAAGAAAGAAAAAATAATAAATAAATAAATAAAGAGCCAATGTAGGAACTGCAGGGTAAAGACGTGTTTAAACAAAATTCTGTAATGTTGCAATTGGAAATCTTTCCCATTTTAAAAAGTAGAAAGTCAATATAGTTAACTGAAACCCACAACTGTGATTACCAGTGTTTAAAATTTAGCATTTTGCTCAATGCATGCTTATTCATACCATGAGCCTGTCTGATAGTGGAAGAGACCTTTCGGTTGCCCTGCCTTTCGCCAGTCTGAGGAGCAGAGCAACCTGAGGTCAACCAGGAAAGGCAGTGTGCATAGGACAATTCAAGTTCTGAGCATCTAATGGAATTTTTACTGCTTCAGGGTAGTTCAGAAATTATTTTAGGTTTGATTATTATTCATCCTAATTCTGTCCTTCATGTTTGAAGAGAGGAAACACGCAGAGTTTCTTTTGAATCTGAGAGCAGAGGCTCTTTTGAAGGTTGGAACGTTGGTTCATTAACTGCTGCAAATTAATGCAATCATACGAAAATCCTTCATTGTGAAAGATGGTCAGAAAAGATCAGCATTTCTTTTTAAGGAAAGGGATTCTGATCACACTGAAATAACATTTCTTCTTTCAATTTTTTATAACTAAAAAATCACATTTTACTCAGGCAATCTTAAAACCAAAATTTCTTCTAAAATGCCTCATGCTAAACTCAACGACACTACAAAGCATCTGGCTTCGCTAACTAATGGATATACTTCATTCTAAACTTTTTTTGAATCCAGGTATCATGCTTAGTACGGTGCTAGACTCATATCTGGTATCAAGTTATAAATTGAAATGTTTGGTAAACTCTTCCCAGCTTTTATGCATGTTTTTGAATAGCAGCTGAACTTAGAATTGTAATAGCTTATCTCTAAGCTCTAAGCAAAATGCAAAAGTCCCAGAAGCAAACTTCCTCTGACAGACAGTTCCAGGAAGCATGACTCATCTGCCCAGGAAGCGTTGGCGGTGGAGCCATAATCAAAGTCGGCTCAGATCCACCGCTGCTCAGACAAAATCTCATCTGCTTCTCTGCATCTCGCCAACTGGAAAACAGGATTTTATCTACAATCCCAGTGGCTTTTGTAGGAAAACTGGGAGGCAGGAGAAGCAGCACTGCTTTCAACACAGTGGGGCCAATTGATGTTAATTACAACTGGGAAGGCTGCTCTGGAAACCACAGATTTATTTACCACAAAATGCTATAGAGCAAGAGCCCCAGTCCCCAGACCAGTACTGGTGGCATCAAACTCTCATAGGAGCATGAACCCTATTGTGAACTGCACACGCGAGGGATCTAGGTTGCGTGCTCCTTATGAGAATCGAATGCCTGATAATCTGTCATTGTTTCCCATCACCCCCCAGTGGTACTGTCTAATGCAGGAAACCAAGCTCAGGGCTCCCACTGATTCTACATGATGGTGACTTGTATAATTATTTCACTATATATTACAATGTAAGACTAATGGAAATAAAATGCACAATAAATACAATGCACTTGAATCATCCTGAAACCACCCTCCCACCCCACCCCCGGTCCGTGGAAAAACTGTCTTCCACAAAAACAGTCCCTGGTGCCAAAAAGATTGGGGTCTCCTGCTTCAGAGCACAAAAAAATAATCCATGAGACTATGTTTATGTTAAAATAACCATAGATAATATGTATTAGCACTTATTCCATGCTGGTCATTATTCTAATTTAAAAATCCTAGCAGCTCTGTAATGCAGGTAGTATTGTTATCTTCATTTTAGAGTTCTGGAAACTGAGGTAGGTAGAGGTTTAGTAATTTAATATTTTGAAAGGCATCAACTACTGAAGAAGAATTTTTCCTATTTCCTTCTGTGGCAGTTCTTTTCTTAAGAATAAGCATTGTTGGTCGGGCGTGGTGGCTCATGCCTGTAATCCCTGCACTTTGGGAAGCCGAGGTGTGTGGATCACCTGAGGTCGGCAGTTCGAGACCAGCCTGACCAACATGGTGAAACCCCATTTCTACTAAAAATACAAAAATTAGCCAGGTGTGGTGGTGGGTGCCTGTGGCCCCAGCTACTCGGGAGGCTGAGGCAGGAGAATCATTGGAACCCGGGAGGCACAGGTTGCAGTGAGCCAAGATTACGCCACTGCACTCCAGCCCGGGCGACAGAGTAAGACTCTGTCTCAAAAATAAAATAAAATAAAATAAGAGTTGTTAAACTCCAGGATACAGAAAGTCTTTATTCTCTGTAATAATAGAGAGTAACCAAAACAATTTTTAAAATGATAGGGACAATACGAACACTCCTGTTAGTCACTGAAATTAAAATTTTTTTCATTATTTTTCTTAACGGAGCTTTGAGTAAAATAAGTGGACAAAAATTGTTGGTTTTATCATTTGTCATTTATCCTTAGTGAGAAGTGTCAAAATGCATTAACCATGCAGGCTGCAGGCAGAAAACAAGAGGAAAATTAAATGTCTTGAGAAATGAATCATTAATTATATCTCAACCTAAAGAATTGAAGGCTCTCTATTTGTGAATTTCTCTATACCTTACTGAGATGTTTCTCTTACATCAGCATCAGTGCAAATAATAACAGTGAACATTTATAGATTTGTTCTCTATTTGCCAGACCTTGTTTTGGCTCTTTACATATATGGATTCATTGACTCTTATTACTCCGTTTTACAGAAAGGGAAAGTGAGGCACATAGACACTAAGGAACTTGCCCAAGGTCACCTAGCTACTAAGTAGTGGAGTTTGGGTTTAAACTTCATTCTGAAGTTACCTGCTTCACTCTGAAGCAGGTACAGAGACTACCAATTCAGCACATTCTATCATATGTCTGGGTGCCTAGAAGACATTCTCTTGCGAACGAGTGCTAGAGGACTTACTACATCTTTGTCATTAGCATCCCATGGTAGTCACCAGATAGAAGAGTGCTGGCTGAGGCAGTTCTAATTCCAGTGACTCCCCTCTAGAACAATAGAAAGCACAGTGCCTGGAGCTGTTTTCAATAGGGAGCTAAAGACTGGCGTTTACCTTTAAACCAAGCAATTTGGAAATTGAAGAATCATCCTTGGCACCTGTTTGGAATCTGTTATGCCATCATGTGACCAGCAGTGACGTGCACTGCAAACACAAACACTGATTTACGCTTCACTTATTAGAGCGGATGCAAGGTCTTTCCAAGGACAGAAGAAATTTGCCTTTAAACAGATTCGGAGAGCACAGAGAGAAAGCAAAGCCCTTATGGAGAAGTCCATGGATCGAGTTAGGGAACTCGGAAGAGAAAGAAAACAAAATGTGAACTCTGCCTGGAGAGGAAGATAGACCTCGCCAGGGAGGAGCCACTGCTCCTAACTGGCAGGGCACAAGGAATGGAGATGGCATTTGCAAGAGATGGAGGTCAGCTGGTGTAAGGGTGAGAAACCATTTCCTGAAGTGTCCCAGGAAGAAGCTGAATGACCAGGCAGGAGCTGGGCTCTCTCCAGAAGGGGCGTGGAGGGGAGTAATAAGCATTTCCTGAGGACTCAATATTTTCCAGGTGTGTGGATTATTATCTTCATTTTACACACGAGAGAACCAAAGCAGCCAGACGTTAAATTCCTTGCCCAAGATCACAGCTGGTAAAGAGCTTTGGAGCCAGGTGGACTCCAGAGCCCACACTGTATTCGTGCAGCACTGAGTGTGAACGTAGTTTCATCACTTCATGTAGTGATGACACTTCCTGCACTGAGTATGGTTCCCCATCTCAATCCCTGTTCTCCTGTGAGCATACTTATACTCAGTTACTGGACTACTATGAGGACAGACAATTATATCTATCAAAGTATTGGTAGTAGTGTCTAGCACATGATGGGCATTCCATTAATGACAAATATTACTGTAATTCTCAAAATAACATCTGAGATGCGAATAACTCTCTAATGCCTCATGAACTTCAAAGTTTGCTTGTTTGTATGAGGGGAAAATGAAATAAACTTGGAAAATATCTCTAGAATAATGTTTTCCTCAGAATGTTCTATGGAATACAAATGTCCAATAGATGTTCATTAATCAGACTTCTGGGCAAGGATAATCTCTTTGGGACTAATCTCCCCTGGTGGTTTTCCCTGCGTCCAGTTCTATCTATCAGGCTATATTCTGATGTCTCCCTTTCCTTCATCCTGTTGTTATCCATCTCTGTCAATTGTACCTCCTAAGTGCTCTGAAATCATTCGATCTCATGCTTCCTCCCCAGCAATGGTGAAGACCTGGAGTTCTCTCTCCCTTGGCCTATAGCAATCCCCTTACTGGGTCTCCACCGTTACTCTTACCTCCCTCCAGTTTATTCTGGTAGCCAGAGTGATTGTTTTAAAAGTGCAGATCTGACCACATCCTTGAAAGACCTCCTGCTGCTCTCCAGGAGGTCTCTGAAACTCTTAATGTGCCCACCCTGCTCTGCAGGCCAGGTCCCTGTCCACCTGAGAGCCTCACACTGCTCTCCTTCCAGTCCCTCACATCTCAAGCCTCCTGGCACCTGGTGTGTTATTCATCCTCAGGGAGGCCTTTCCTGACCCACAAAGGAGCTCAGTTCCCATCTCATGCCTTCTGGGTGCACTATAATTGTCCCTCCCAGCACTTAACGCTGCCTGTGGTTAAATTTTTATTGTGTGATAAATTGATTAAGGTGTGTTTCCTCCATCATGACAAGGAAAACTGATGCTAAAACAGTCACATGTCCATAGCCTAAGTGTCTAAAATATATCCTACTGACTGGATACATGGATAAAGGAATGAAGAATGCATATTTAGGATAGTGACAGCCTGAGGAAATACCACAGCAAACGCAAAACAAAACAACAAACCCTGCTTAATTGTGTTTTAATTTGGCATATCGCAGATTTATTAGAATATAGGTCTCTATTTGTGAAACATCTACCAACATTTGTGGCAGAGACAGTTATGTGGCTTCTGCAAATTGACTTCCCCTTCCTTTGGTTTCATGAACTACCACATGGAAGCCAGGAACACCTGCCTTTTACTCTGATGTGATTAGAAATAACCTGTGTTGCAGTAAGCAACTGAGAATGTATGAGTTCTCCATAACAGCTAGCATCACTTTAAGTATTGACAATATCCCATGAGCCCGATGTTTCTCAGTCGTGGTATATGGAAAATGTTGTTTAGGCTGTAGACATGGAGAATATGGATGTGACACTGCAAGATTCAGGGATACTGGTGATGTTTTTTATCCATTCTTCCTCTTGGAATGCATTATTTTGCAACTGAAAGGAGGATACGGGAGTGCAACAAACTGTGATATAAGCATCTGGGGTGAACAGGATGACATCAGCAAGGATTTGGCAAGAGATGAAATGCATGTTATAAAGACTGGAGGGAAATGCCTTTGACTGAAGTCCCCCACACTATCACGAGGACTTGAAATGGACTTTAGTGGAAAAGGGGAAGGAATAAGGAAATGATTTAATGGAAGATGATAGTGGTCAAGGTGCCCGATAAGGAAAAGGGGGAGAAAGTTTAGAATCAGAATACAAAAACTGTAAAGTGAATCTGACATTTTTAATATAATGAGGTAAACATAATATCAACTGTATGACCAGGCCTTGGTGAGATAAAATACATAACTCAGCCATAGCAATGGAAGAGTAAGTCCTCACTGGAAAGTAACATTTAATAGCAGGCAAATGTATGTTAACAAGATGCCTATTAAGATACTTTTCCCTCCCCAGGAGAGAGCATTGAAGTGAGGATAAAACAGGCTATCTTGGTGGAAGTGGGCTATGAACAGTGGTCTCAAGTGCTGGACCAGGGGCTTGTGCAAAGCTTGCTCTTGGGGAATCCTCAAGGATTTGGTTAAGTCTGGGATGAGGACTAGGAATAAATTTTTCTAACAAGATCCCCAGATGATTCTGGAATGCAGCCAGATTTGGTAGCCAGTTATAAGGACTTTATCCTCCCACCTCAGCTTCTTTTCAGTAGAGACTGCAATCTTTTGTAAAGGAAATCTATAAACACTAATGTACCAAAAGAGATCTACAGGAGTGGCGACGGGGAGACTGTTTCAACAATCTGGACACCTATGAGATGTCTTGTTCCCCCAAAAAATGTAGCATTTGTTGAATTCTTTATATGCTCTCTTCATATAAAGGAGACAGTGAAGAGAAGTGCAACTCTGGACTAATTCTGGCTAGCAAAGAAGTGGTTGTTAATATGGAAGTCACCAAGACAATAGGAGACAGTGATCACCTTGCCTTAACTTAGAGCCTGTGATGGCTGACCACTTAACCGGACTAAGGTTTTGGGGATTCAAACTTCAAAACAAGATATAAACCTATGGATAAAAAAAAAAAATAAACAAATGAAAACGCAATTGAAAAAGGAAAGAACATTCTAGAAAATTGGCAAATTCTGAAAAACTAAATTCTCACTACAAAATCAGGAATAATTTTGGGGGGTGCAAAAAAGGAGAACCCTCTAAAGAAATCAATCTAAGCAGAAATCCAAGAGGCTCCATGGAACTTTCTGACCATTTTATGGGTACACATACGAACTAGCTAAACTTTGGGAAATGGCACAGAAAAATATTGTTGAACATTAGAAAAAATGTCTAATTTTAAGGCTGTGACTAGGGCAAATGAAAGAGGGAAACACGGATGGCATGGATGCTTTCAGAAGAGAGTGTGATGTCAATGAAGAGGAGGTAGAAACATGCCTAGTTTGATTTTGAAACTGGAAGAAGAGACATGGAATTCCAGTTTAGAAGATAAAAGAGTCAACTCTTTTCAATGAACTTTTCCAGGCTTAAGGGAATTATATGCCACAGCACTGAAAGGTATAGTGATTACAGAGCTGATTTTGTAATCTTGGTGAATTCATGGGTGCATAGTTCATGGTTAATGTTTTCAACGCAGCCATAAAAAAGAGCAAGATCAGGTCCTTTGCAAGAATGTGAATGGAGCTGGAGGCCATTTTCCTCAGCAAACTAATGCAGGAAACAGAAAACCAAGTACTGCATGTTCTCACTTATATGTGGGAGCTAAGTGCTGAGAACACATGGACACAGGACAGGGAAACAGCAGGCACTGGGGCCTACCTGAGGGTGGAGGGTGGGAGGAGGGAGAGGATCCAAAAAAATAATGAGAACTAGGCTTAATACCTAGGTGATGAAATGATCTGTGCAACAAACACCCATGACACAAGTTTACCTACATAATAAATAAGTTCAGGGTATGTGTACTACTATCAGGGTAGTGCACATACCCTGAACTTGAAAGTTAAATTAAAAAAAAAAAGTTTTAGCATTCCAGCGGAATCTATGCCCCTGCTCACAAGTTCTGCTTCTGCCCAGAACATAATCTGTGAACATCACCGGCTAGAGGGCTTGGCTACACTGCCCTAATGAGTATCGTCCATAGGCAGGCTAGACCCATGCATTTGCTGTCGAGCTCAAACACATGAGCTCCCTGTGCTGGGGATTTGTCACCAAGGGAAAGTCTGGTTGTATGCAAGCACTTGAGGTAAATGATCCTGTAGGGTCAAGGCTGGGGTGGTCATGTTGTTGAAGCTAAAATTCCGAGGTTGCTGAAACTCAGAGGAAGCCTTTGGGGAGAGGGATGGGAATGGATGGGAACAGTCAGGGAGCAGGAGCAGAGCCTTAGGAAGTGGGAGTGGAGAATCTGCCTCACTCTCTTGGCTTCCCACCTTCTCCAGGCTTCTCAGCCTCTCCTGTGTGTGGGGAGGTGTGAGCCTTCTCAAAGTAACCAGCCTGTCACATGCGCCTGTCCTCTTCATGTGGCTCAGATTGTGTTTCGGTGCCACCACCAAGAGTGCGAGCCCAGACAAGGAGAACCAGCAGGGCTGCCAGGGGGCTGAAGGGAAAACGTTCCAGCTTCCAAGATGGGGAAAGATTCATTCTAGAATCTCGTAGATCAGTAAGATTAACAGTAATTTTTGGAAAAATTCTAAATTAGACACTAAAAATAATTTGTCAACATGAAGCAAAGAAAGAGGTGATTATAATAAATGGCACCTGCTTATCTATGGAGTCATGCAAAACATTGATTTCTCTTTGCGGCAGTGTCAATAGAATGGTAGACTTGGGGGCAGCAGGAACACTTCCCCATGATCCCTGTGAGGGTGACAGGACACTGTGAGAGTGCTCCCGGGGTATGTGGTGTTATGGCTGAGAGCATCGGTGTGGAGTTACAGTGCCTGCTAGAAAGCCGGCCTTGACACTTATAATCTTTCTGAATATGAACAACCTATATCTGCCTCACTTTTCTCACCTAACGAATGGGGATAATATTTCTTATAATACAGGGTTGCTGTGAGAATTACCTGGCAAATAATACATGCTGAATAAATATTAGCTTTTATTACCTAGTAGTTTGAATAGTGCTATTCCAAAAGCACTTAATAATAGATCAATTTTAACCAAAAGAACTTATCATTTAAGAGTATTTGAAATAGATGCAATCTTGTTTGACATTTTTATCAATTATTTTTGAAGAAGTACTAGGTCAGTGGCCAATGAGTCTGTATGCAAATGAATAATGCTCTGAAAAGCAATGAATGAAGATTTAGGGAGGTCATGATGTGTTGGGATTCTCAGACAAAATCAAATCTGATTTATTAGGAAAAATATCTCTGTTTAGATTCTTAAAAATCATATAATCATAAATTCATAATAATTCATGTAAAAGTGATATGGAGATTATAAATCTTGATATAGGCCAATATCATGACTTAGCTACAATAAACCCCATTTAACTTCAGCATAGACCACCAGAAATATATGAACTGGATAATACGGTTCCAACCTACTTGGGCCTAGCCAGGTTTAGTTGAACTGTTGCATCCAATTCTGGGGCCACATTTAAAGAGGCACTGACATACAAGAGAACATGCAAAGGAGTGTGTCCCACACACGTGAACTAGATGAGGACCAGTTAGGGAAATGAAGGATAAGGATTGGAGAAAAGAAGCCATCACTTACTCTGGTTTGTTACAGAGAGCCTCAGAATTCAGGGACCTAGACTTCAGTCTACACTCACTCTCCTCTTTGTACCTCTTTACACTGTCTGGTTCCTGCTCTCGCCCCACAAACACTGCTCTGACCAGAGTCACATTGATCTCCAAGGGACCCTTCTGAACCACAACCTCTCTCGACTGCTCTTCCCTTGGCTCCCATGACACAGTCACCTTTTTTTTTTTTTTTAGACAGGGTCTCACTTCGTCACCCAGGCTGGAATGCAATGGTGCGATCCCAGCTCACTGCAAACTCCGCCTCCCGGGTTCTAGTGATTCTCCTGCCTCAGCCTCCTGAGTAGCTGAGATTATAGGCCTGAGCCACCGTGCCCAGCCACAATCACCTCTTAGTGTTCCTACTTCCTCTTCTCACTACACACATGCTCCCTGTTGACTTAACAAATACCCTGGGCTTCCTATACATCTCCATGTTGATTTCTCCCAAATCTATCATTTCCATTTCTATATTCAATCACTCGTTTGAAATCTCCTTTTCTGCATGGAGACTCAGACTCAAAATAAAAATGGAAGACTGAAATCAAGTTGTAAAATACAGCCAGAACTCTTCAGGTTGATTCCCCATGTTTGCACGGGCAAATGGTCTCACTCCTTTAAGCAAATGGTCCCTTCTCCCACTGTATATTTTATTTCCAGATCTGAAATATTTTGTTTTGCCCAGAGGGTGAAATAATAAAGGATGCATTTGGTTTCCAATGGGATCTTTTCAAACCCATTCCTCTCATCAAGGCGGGATAGTGTCTGACCAGCACGTAATTAAGTCTTTTTGTAGTTTCCATTTTATTAATTCAGAATAACTAAATTCTGGCTCTAGTAACAGGCATCCAGTTGGGATTTGGGGAAGTCAGCTGAAAAAACCCAGAAGCGATTAAAATAATGGAAGCTAGATTTCTGTGTGTGTGAGTTTTCTCTCTGTAAATGGTTGTTTGTGTGTTAAAATTTCCATCATAGACCAGCTATTGCAGCTATTGCTCTGGTCTGGCCTCTTGGCTCACAGAGATGGAAAACAATCTCCTCCCTCTGGCAACAGCGCCGTTTTTTTGGAAGGCCTTTCTGAACTTCTGGTTCTCATTTTGTATTTTTGCTCTTTCACCGTCAATGTTGCACAAGAGAAATGGCATGACCATAACATGACAGACACGTCATCCATAAGGGGCTCTAATGAGCTACTCTGCAGTTGCTGGAACAAGCATTTTTTAATTTGAGTTTTTAAACACCTTTTTGTTGCCATTTCATCCTCAAATGAGTCGAAAGAAATGGAGTTCAGGTCCTGGAAATGTTTCATCTCTTTCCTCCCCCCTCTTTCTGCCAAAGCCTCCTTTAAAGCCCAATTCAAAAGCATCCTCCTTTCTGTGGCTTTCTCCATTACGCTTTACCAAATCACGATTATGGTGCCCAGCACACTGTTATACGTGCAACGCTCGGCAAGATCATGAGTCCTATTTTGGTTTGTGCTCCAATTTGTAGGATTGCACTGCGTGTGTAGGAGGTCGTACAAAAACGCCAGTTTGGAATTCAATCTTTCTCATTCATTAGTAGTTATCATTAGACTGATACTAAAATATGGCTGTGATATTCAATTCAACTTGAACTTACTGAACTCCTGTAATGTCCCACCTGTATAATAAGTGCCTGGGTTACAAAGTTAGTAGGAGACAGCACAGACCTTCGAGAAGCCCACAGTCCAGTGGGAATCAGAATAGTCCTAACTGGTAAAAGGAGGTATGACCAACTGCTGTGTTCACGGTATAAACAAAGGGCTTTGAAAGCAACTTTTCTGCTTTTTCTAAAACACAAACAAGGTCTCACCATGTGAAGAAATGGATGCCTATTCTAGTAGTATCTTAATGATACCATCCTGGTATCATTAAGCTTGTGAAGACCAGTTGAACTCCAGGTCAAGGAAGGTGGACTTTAAAACCATTGCCAAGTACGTGCTTGTAAGTTTGTTTCATGTTGTGTCATATTTTCTTAGAATACTGGTAAACAAAACTTTCTAATGGGTAAACACTATGGCTAATATTTCTGTAATATTGTACTTTTGTAAATATAAGGCAAAATTTTTTCCCAAAAAATTATCTCTGAAAAACAAGGGAATCTCCTTATAGTTAGGACCTCACAGAGTCTCTCAAAGTGCAGAATGCTTTGTTGTCACTCTTTGTTTTCATAAACAAAAGTGCTATTTGGAAAATATATGTTAACCTCAACCAACCTCAACCAATGCTAGTTTTCCTATACAACTTGTAAAAACACAATTAAGAACATTTTACAAGAATAACATATTTTTTCCTGGGAATATGACCCCAGAGTTGCCAGCAATGGATGTTGAAGTCTTTGTAAGTAAGACTTCTAAAAATCACTGACCACCTTAAAAACAACTACCTTAAGTCACTAGGCTGCAGGTAGGAGGGCAGGTGGGAAAAAAAATGTCCTGTTATCAGAGCAAGTACTTATCACTTCAGAAAGGGTATCTAGTGAAAACATTATATGTGGATTTTTTGAAGTATTATATATTAACAATATAGACAGAAATAAAGATAATGCCTTAGATGACTCAAAAAGTTATTTTACTGATGATGAAACGTAGATGCCAAAATAACCTCCCAATTTGTAGCCCTAAAAGTTACATATGCAAGTTATCAAAAAGCTTTTTAAGTTAAAATTTCTTATTGCAAAAATAACATATTACCTTATATTCAAGGTTGCCTAATATTTAAGCAAGATTTATTGCCTGAAATTGCATACAGACAGTTGAATAAATGTTACTAGTGGTCATGATTATAACAATTGAAACTTCAATTTTACAAAAATAAAAATATACTGAAATGAACTTACATTTAAAAATAAAAACAACAATTAAAACCATGATACCTCATACTAGAAAAATGACATCTTAAATAAATCCAAGATACCCAAACATTTTCTGATCTCTTATACACAGAGAACAAACATAAAAACAACCAACAAAAAATAGAGGTTATTACTCTCCTTCCATGTAAGTTAAGTAATATGAGGTCAATGAGTCCAGAAGTTACACTGAAACCTAAAAACATAGATAGTTCTCTGTATTCACAATTTAATACATTAAATATGAAATATACCTGTTCAAATACCATGGGTGGTTGGTGTGTTATAGATGCGTGGGGCAGAGTTAGGGATTTTATTCTAAAAAGCATGATGGATTCTAACTTGACACATCTCCCTTGATCTGAAAAAGCAGTGATCAATCAAGCTTTATAATACATACCTCTAAATAATCTGTGGAGCAGTTTATGTGATGTTCCAAGTCAAATGCTAAAAATGTGTAGTTCACAGTGTTGCCTGTTGTTGCCCGGATGGTCCAGTTGCAATGCTGATTTTCAGAATAAGGATTCGGATACCCTATACTCTCTAAGATGCCATAGGTTTGATTGACTATTACCACATTCTCACATGCTGGAAAAAGAAATGACTGTTAAGAACCACTATTATATACTTCATAAGTGCTCCAAGATGAGATTTTCCTTTAAAAAAAATAAATAAAAATCATCTGTGTATGTACACACACACATATATGATGTGTATATATGTGTGTGTATATATACACACACAGAGACACACACACATATATATTTGGTGCAGTATTTTCATAGTGAAAGGATTTCCATTTAGAAGAAATGTGAAATAATACTGAAGTGAATTCAAACTAAAGAGTCATGAAAATTAAATAGTCATGTTAAAATAGGCATCAAATTCCCTTGAATTTGTGGAGAGCAGAATAACTTGGTTATATTCAGGGATCAGTCTGATTTGTTTGTTAGAGAAGCGCATTCGACGTTCTGTGCTGCTGTTTTTTTAATGTTAACACGTGGAAGGGACAGAAATTCTGACTTTTAAATTCAACAGTTTAAAAACCCAAAATCCTATGGGAATGCTAAAAACCAGTAACAACATGGCTTTGTTGAACATTCAAAAGTCTGCATGAAATTCACAATAAAGGCTCCGTTCTCCCTCTAGTTAGTCATCAGGAAGTACCAAGCGAATAGATAGAGTAGAAAGGATTTAAAGAAGAAAGGAAAATGTGAAATTACAGAAAAAAAGTCTTCAATCCAATGGTGGCATTTTCTTGAGCTGAGTTTTCAACAAAACCAAACCAGATACCTCTAAGTATGTCTAATCCTGGGTGCCCAGTTCAGCCAATCCTAATGACTTAAACAAGGAATATATTATCTCTATGATGTGCAATAAAAGAGAACGGGAAATAAACATTATATGGAATGAGCTGTCTCTGAAAGTGTGATTCATAGATGTATTCCTACTACGATATGCTTTCTGAAGGTGGGTAGAACACCATTTATAACTTTGGTTTAAAAAAGTGTACATTTGTGGCTCTTCAAAATATTGCTTTGTTGGAGCAGGGAGAATACTTAAACCCATTCTGTTTGAAAATCTTTAGGTCACAGTTTTGTCCATAAAGGATTTTTAAAGAATAATCTTATTGTTTTAGAAGACTGTGAGAAGGTACACCTATTAGGCAGATAGGCATCACGTGCCTCGATGACTAGGGGCAACACAGGGCCCAGGAAAATACATTCCAGTAAACCACATGGGCCACTCTCAGCACTCAGACCTTACACTATTTGTAAATCTCCAATTTCCCATGGCAAATTTTACAGATAATCTCACTAGTTTGCTCTGATTTTGCCTCTTATGTGCACTCATTTACACTTTCAGGATTCTGAAATTATGACAGAAAAATATCTCAGAAATGAAAAGAAAAAAAAGAAACCCTTAAACAATCTGATTATAACCAGAAATAGATTAGCACAGCAGTAATAAAATTAGATAAATGATTACATAGTCAAACAGATGTATCTCTGATAGAACTTAGGAGACCTTTTTATGTACTAGTGATACATTTCTGAAGAACAAAGCTATATATTAAAACTTAATATTCAAAACTATCTAGGATTCAGCCTAATCCCCAGATATAAATCAATGTGAATCTTAAAATTCATACATAATCAAGGTTAAATGTTATTACTCTTTCAGTTAATTCAAGGGATATTGTGTATACAGTTAATAATTTTGTGACTTTTAATTCCACTTTCAGATAATTACATAAAATTATGGATAAATTTTGATTCTGTGGGAAAAGATAATTGTGTAAAATTATGGATAAATTTTGATTCAGTAGAATTATGTTTCCAAAACCTAGACTTTACTTTGATAAAGTAAAAGTCTCTATCAAATAACAAATTCAAGAAAATATTGTTTTCTTGAATGTCCATTTTGGAACTAACTTCAAAAAGCATTTAATTCTAGAGCTAGAAGGCAGGTTTAGAGACCATCTAATTTAATCTCCTTTTCTAAAAGAAGAAACCATGGGACCACAAAGAAAAGTGACTTTCTCAAGGGTTAGGAGCCAGAACAAACCCCAGGCCCCTTGACATTTTGCTCAGTGTTCCTTTAATTCCATCATGTTGCTATCTGGGAAAAGTAGATTTAAAATGGCATCTGTACAATGGCCAGATTTTTCTACTGTAAAGAACATGCTTATTCCATGCATGACTCACATGGACCACAGCTTTCCCTAATAAAATTAAGGTACTTTTTAAGGTAGAGACTAGTGTGATAGAATACTATGTACATTGGAATAATATAATGTACACTGCAAGATTGCAATGTGTGAGGCAAATGAAAAGCTATTAGTCATTAGTCTGGTACACTGATCTTTCACTGAATTGCAACTCTCTCAGCATATTAAATACTCTTCTAAGTTTCTATAGTTTGCCAGATGTTTTAGTTATATGAGATTAAATTTAATACGTATTTCTCCCTCAAATGGAGTTAAACGATTCACAGAAGAAACTAAGATGAAGTTCAATTGCTCACACCAATGCGTTACACTTATTTCAGTTTGTTTCAAGAATTTGAAGGCCCACTCTAGGCACTGAACAGCGAGTATACATACTTACTCTGCCAGTATTCACACTTACTCTGCTGGTATTCACACTTACTCTGCCAGTATACACACTTACTCTGCCGGTATTCACACTTACTCTGCCGGTATTCAGCCTTGAAGCCACGTCCTTGCTGACCTTCATCTGTCCTCAGTTTTATAAACATGCTGTCTCCACTAGAACGAATAAGAGGGGGTTTCTCATCCCCACAAAGCTGAGTTAGCAGATGAGAGTTGCTACTTGGGCCATCATATACCTTTAAGAAAATATTTTGAATGTTAGATGGTTGAGACTATAAACATTATGTAAAGGACTATAATCCAGAAGAAGTGAGGAAGAAAAAATATATATATTTATTATGTATATATATTATAAATAAATATATGTAATTATATATAAAATATTATAAATATTCATTATATATAATATATTTATAAAATAAATTTATTTAATACATATATTTTTATATATGTATTCAACACATATGTTTATATTTGCATTAAATACATATATTTATATATGTATTAAATATTTATATGTAAACATAAATATATATAAAATAAATATATCTTTATATATAATAAATATATATTTTTTGTTATATATATGACATCACAAAAGAATAGCCATGAAATAAAATAACCTTATAAATTATATTTAGGTATTTATAAACTCAGGCCATAAACTCAGGCAATTAAGCTGTGGACATGTGCAGCAGTAATAAGCGTGTGAGCTTACACTGAAGGCTGAATATTGAAAATGAAAGCCCAATACATATTGTAATGCCACAGCTGATGTCAACTGTCCTCCTTGTTTTTTGATTCCATAGTTTATGATTCATGACACTTCAATACATTTTTATTTAGATTTTTAACAAATGAACAATGGTGAATTGCTGTACTGTGAAAAATCCTAGTGGAATGACTCATATTATCTTCTCTACTTCGCCAAAACTGTCTTCTAAATTGTGATTTTTCAATGCATATGTGGAAAAACATAAATAATGATTATAATAAATCCTGTAATCCCTTTCAGGAGATTTTCACCATATCTTAATAGTCTATCAATATATTTTAAATACTTAGTGTATCGAGCCATTGAGTACTTCGAAGATGGTCACTTTCACCAAATTTCTTTTATGTTTTTATTTTGTTTGAATTTTTATATGGATGTTCGGTTTAGATGCTCCCCTTTCCTGAATCTCGAAAATAAAAATAAGTGCATTGTGCGTTGGGTGAGATGGGAGCAGGGAACAATATGATGGAAACATTATACATACAGCCAGGTAATCTAAAGTGCAGTTTGGATGATGCTCCAAGTGAAAGTCTTTGAATTCCAGTTCAAATGCGCTGCCGTGGCTAGATTTCAACCACCAGTAGCATTCAGAGCTGTGGTAATAGGGCATCGGGTAGTTGGGAGATATGAACGTGCCGCTTGAAGTGGTGAGATTACCCCCGCAACCTACAGGAGAAAGAAGTGGAATGACACACACCCCTTTCCTTCTGGGGAAATTGAATCTTTTTGTCTGCATTAAACTGGTGCCATTCTACTATCCTTTAAATCAAATTGCACAGCAAAATGGCATCATGAAAGAGTAGTTATAGCCTAAAAATCCAATTTTTATTTTTTTCTATTTTTTTTTTTTTTTTTGAGATGGAGTCTCACTGGGTCACTCAGGCTGGAATGCAACGGCATGATCTTGACTCACTGCAATTTCCACCTCCTAGGTTCAAGCGATTCTCCTGCCTCAGCCTCCCTAGTAGCTGAGATTATAGGCACCTGCCACCACGTCCAGCTAATTTTTGTATTTTTAGTAGAGACGGGGTTGGCCAGTAGAGACTATGTTTAGTAGAGACTATGTTGGCCAGGCTGGTTTCAAACTCCTGACCTCAGGTGATCCCCCTGCCTCGGCCTCCCAAAGTGTTTGTGAGTACAGGAGTGAGCCACAGCACCCAGCCCCAATTTCCATTAATGCAATTTCCTTATTCTAACCAGGATTCTTATTTATTGATAAAAAGAAACTAGAACTTTCTCCCTTTGTCTGTTAAAAAGAAATGGCTGCTGTTAATTTAAAATTATTTGCAATATTGAAGTTTAAATACAGCTGGGCAAACATGGACAAGTGAGGGACAGAGCATGACAATCCCAGAATCAAGAAACCAATCAGATTGGCTTCTCCAGTAAAAGACAGCTCTTTGCTATTTACCTGTTGATGACCCATCCCAGTAAGCTGAGAATCCAGACCTTGTGTCTATTTGGTCACTCTTAAATTTTAACCATAGTTTGTTACTATGAGAGATGATTGTTGGGGGTAGATTTGAGCCATAGAATATTCCCAGCAATGGTGATTTTTCATAGCCTCCATCTCTGGCAGAATACAGAAATTAAAATTTATTGGGTTACTGACAATATTACTGTATAAACATTTAACATAATTTGAACTTTGGGATTGCAAACATTAGCAGTTTATTGGATGAAGTAATTTCTCTCAAACACTACACTTACTCTAAAAAACACGATTTTCACTTTTAAATTTTTAAAAATCATATTTGAATGACTTAACAAAGAATAACCATCATTCATAGCTGGTATGGTGTTTTATATAACCAATCACAAACTGAGAGAATATGTTTAATCTTCACCCTTTCGAATAAAGCCTCTGGCAAATGTGTCAGAGAAAACACGATAAAGAAACTATACTATTAACTATATAAACATACTGCTGTATTTTACAGAGAATCTTTCAACGTTTTCCTTCTGATTTGGAAATTTTTGAAATGTAATATATCATATTTGATATACTTAGCAAAATTCTGGAAATAGCATTTTCCTAAAAACTTCTGGGGCCTTAATTCTAGTTTATAATCTGTAGCTTTTTGAAACAAACAACAAAAAAGGGATTTATTCAACATCAAAGTCCAGTGAGTAACTGCTGTAAATTAAGAAAATTATGTCATTTTAGCACGATAGGGTCCAATTATGATTTATTATTTTAATACCTTACTTTATATTATAGAATAACATTTATAATACATAAGATTCCAGATTTAAAATCCCAAATAAAACATTTGATATAGATGCCCACCAGAATGATTAGCCTAATTTAACTCAAAGTAGTGGCATGGAGAGATAGTAACATATAAGCTAACTTACTTTTACTGCAAATATAACTTTTTAAACACATTCTTTCAAAATGATGATAATGAAAGAATAATGCCTTGTACTGAAATTCACAAGCCTAGACTTTTATTACCTGAACATGAAAACTTTGTGAAAACTTTAAGATTGCTATCCTGCCATCATTTTATAATATAATTAGATTAAATGAACAGCAAACAGCCTAAAATTTACATCGATTTTACATAATTAAAGTAGGTATTCAACAGTAGCAAGTTACATCATTTCAGAGTAGTAGCACATCTGTTTCTTTGCCCACATAAAATCTGGAGTTTATTTTCAAGTATTTCCAATAAAATAATCACTTCAAAATAACCACAGAATCTTATGCAATTCCTGTATTTCTCCTAAGTCAGGCTCCAAATGACAAACTTTATTTCTTGCAAGAAAGTGCACAGCAGGGAGCTTTGCAGAGAATTTCCATATTTTTTTCCTTAATCTTCCTAGGAAAGATTATTAATGAGAATAAATAATGAAAAGATTATAATGAAATAAATAAAAGTGCTGACCTGATTTCCAGAAAATCTGTATAATAGTTTCCAATGGCTTCCTCCAAGGAGAAGTTTGTGAAGTGCACTGCAATCAGTTGGCCAGTTCTCACTGTGATCCGATAAATGCATTCCCAGTTGTTGGGATAATTATTGGGGAAGTTTGGAGAAGTGAATGTCCCCAAATCATCTGTGTAGTCTTGCAAACATGCTGTGAACAGAAACAGACCATAAGAGAGAAAATAGAAAATATTGATATGTTTATAATACATCCAGTAATATGTATTTCATTAATTTGTGCCTATACTTGATTTTCAATAAGCCATTCTGGAATGTGCAAATAAAGACTTCATTCTGAAACAAAGTTTTTGTAATCTTAAAGACAAAATAATTACCAACACTAAATCTAAGCTATGGAGAGGAAATTGTTATATATATCTTGAGTAAACAACCCTTTAAGTCTTGAAAGTGTTACGTTTTTCTAATCCTTGCAAATTACCATAAACATTAAAAATTAGGATCCACTGCAGGAGGGCCTAGAAATAATTCAGTCTTGCCTTTTCATAAGCTCCCTTTAAAGTGGTTTTCACCAAAGCATGCATTTATGAGAAATGACAAAGCAGGTACCTCCACCACGGGGTGAAGAATAAGGGCCCAGGCTCAAGGATCAGAGTGATCTCGAATGAAAACCCTCTCAAACACTGTCAAGCTCTGCAGCCTTGGGAGAGTTACTGTACTTCTCTAAGCCTTAGTTCTCACATCTCGCAAATGAAGAGGATTGCTACCTTTGACTGAAGGTTTAAGAGTTAAAGATAATGCATTACAAGGGCTTAGCCCATGATATGCACTCAGTAAATGGTGGTCATTTACTTTATAAGGAAGACATTAGGTCATTTATAAAACATTTAGCATAGTACCTGGACAATTTTGAAGTCCTAAATAAATATCTTCTTTAAAAACTTTTCTAGTTTAACAGTTTTAACGTTACCTATTCAGTCGATTCTGTGTTTATTACCACCCACTCAATCTCCTATGCCCTCCAAATCTGAAATATTTTACAAAGAAAATCTGGTTTGAATGCTTTTGTTTTTGTTTTTGCTTTTGAGACAGGGTCTTGCTCTGTTGCCAAGGCTGGAGTGGAGTGGCGGGATCTTGGCTCACTGCAACCTCTGCCCCCCGAGTTCAAGCAATTCTCCTGTCTCAGCCTCCCCAGCAGCTGGGACTACAAGCATGCACCACCATGCCCAGCAAATAAATGCATTTTTAATGTATTTCCAATTGCATCCAGCCATAACCTAAATCTAGGGTATAGGAGTAGACAGAGGTCTCCTACTGAAAGGTTTTGGATACAATAAACTATTGTGTTTCATTGTGAGTCAAAATAATAATAATAATAATAAGGATGTTTAGTTATGCTGTTTCCCTAGTTGCTGCTATATAATCCCCAAGCTCAGAAAAGAAGAATCATTGGTATTGAAAACATAGAGATGCATAGAACATATTATAGGTTCTACTATCTGTGTGTAGCTCTCAAAGGAATGGGCATTCGCCAGATATTTGATTTTACTCTATTTTAAACAGCAAGCAATCAAGGCTTTACTTTATTGAAGGAATTCACAGTGACATTTAACACCAAAGATTATGTTTAACTCCAAAAGTATAGAAAAGTATGCTTCTCTGTAGTCTGCCAAAATATTTCCACAAGTGGAAAGGAAGGTAGAGAGGAAGGGAATAAGACAGACAGAAGGGAGACAACAGGAAAGGCAGAAAAGAGGGATAAAGAGAGCGGGGAGGAGTATAGCATTGGTCTATTAATATTTCAGACCCAGTAATGAAACTTACTAAGCTAAAAAAAGGACATCAAATGAAAGCAATGACCCAGTATCCCTGAGTTGACAGAACAGACAGACTCATTGACCCACACACAGAGAGCTTTGGCCAGTAAATCAAATATTTAGAGGAAATTATCTGTCGTCACTTGTTCTTGCTTACTCACTGTACTCCTGGAGGGGAAATACAATTGTCTTGCATATCTCTAATGCAACTTGTCTGTGGGAGAATGTTAAGTGTGATTAGGTCTCAGGTGGAGGAACCTGAATTAATGACATTTTGGGGCAATAATGATGGGTAGTTTCCCTTTATCTTGCTTACATGAATGTGATTATTCTGGAACAACTGGTGGGAGTCTGTTAATCTGTACTGAAATTTTGATTTACTCACCAAGCTTCTTTTCTGTTGCTGGCACAAAAGTAAACTACAGTTCTTGATGTGTTCCAATGATATTTACACCATTCACTTTGTCTGAAATGCTTTACCCTTTACCTAACCCGCCACCCAACAACCCCTGCCAATACACAGTTTAACATATACACTCTTACCCATCATTTAAGGTTGGCTGAAACCTTTCCCAACCAAGCAGAATTAATTTATTTAGCATAATAAAATTTTATGCAAATAGCAATTTGAACCCCAAACATATTTTGTAATTGTTTTTATGTGAGTATATTTACCTTACTAAACCTTGGGATATGACTAAGACTTTATTAACCATTATTTACTATCACTGTAGTACCTGGCCCAGATGAGGTCCCAGTAAGTAGTTGTTGAAATATTATTACATGATGTGTTGGAAACGAAGGGGACTGGTACATGCATCTAAGTTCCTCCCACTCTCCCTACTCCATTCAGTTCTTCTCTTTCAAACTACCCCTAAACTCCAATCCTACGACTTCTATTTTTCTCACCTCATTTTTCCTCTCTCTCTCTTCTTCCTGTACTCTATCCTGGTTGGCTGAGGTTCTTTAATATTTTTTTAATTCCAGCTATGACAAGCAACTGTACTAAACTAGCTGCTCTCCTTAAGAACTGTAAAACTGAACAAAATATTGGACAATCTGCAGTACAAGATTGTGATTCTTGACAGAAAGGAAACTCATGATGTACGACTCTTGATTTCCTTGGCTTTCTACCTGTGCAGAATTTCCTGACCACAGAAGGGAGCTGAAGTCCAAGTAGTGAATGACAGTCCTACTGAGCTGATGATGCAAAGATTAGAGTTGCCAAAGCAGCTGGAACTATATGGAAATTCTACAGAGAAGAAGAAGTATATAGAGAGGAAAGCCGGGCATCTGAGTAGGGCTTCCCATGGATTCTTAGCTAAGCCTGGGCTGAGAATACATAAGGTGAGACTTCAGAAAGCATGTCAGACAGGAGCTGCTACTAGGCTGGAAGCGGAAACAAGATCATTTAGAGTTCTCTCCCATTCCAGAATGGGGATACCTCCTTAACACCTCAGGCATTCAAATGAGACACCTAAAAGGCCATATCTTACAAGTGAAGACCATGGCCAAGAGTAGGGCTCTCTAGAACTTCCGGGCCAAAGGATAAGTCTTAACAAGACCTGCAGGAATCATAGAAGTTGGAGGTAGAGACCTAGCAAGTTAGAGGGGCTCGAGAAACAGGGATGTTCACAAATATTCTTTAGCAAGTACAGATATAAACCTATGCAGATACAAAGTAATCAGCTAGATATCAAACTAGCTTCAGAGGAAGATAAGATAATACAGAGTGTCTACAACACATAATTTACCCACATGATATGGGACCCCCATATCATGTCCCAATCTATCATGTCCACTATAAAACCCAAAACTATTACAAATATTAAAAAAAAAGAGAGAAAATATGGGCCAGGTGCAGTGGCTCACACCTGTAATCCCAGCACTTTAGGAGGTCAAGGCAGGTGGATCATGAGGTCAAGAGATCAAGACCATCCTGGCCAACATGGTGAAACACCATCTCTACTAAAAATACAAAAAATTAGCTGGGTGTGGTGGTGGGCGCCTGTAGTCCCAGCTACTCAGGAGGCTAAGGCAGGAGGATCGCTTGAACCTGGGAGGTGGAGCTTGCGGTGAGCCGAGATCATGCCACTGCACTCCAGCCTGGCGACAGAGTGAGAGTCCGTCTTAAAAAAACAAAACAAAAAATGAGAAAATATGAATCAAATCAAGAAAAGAAATGTCATCAGTAGTCAAGAAAAATGTGGTCATAGTTGAGAAAAAAAATGTCATCTTGTGATTCAAAGATGATCCAGGTGTTAGATTTAAAAGAGAAAGACTTTAAAGCAGCCATTAAAAATATGTGCAAAGACTTAAAGAAAAAGCCTTAAAAAGTAAACAGATATGAAATTTTGGCCCAAAAAGGGAGAAAATTATTAAAAGGAACCATGAAAATTATATAACTTAAAATTACACTAATTCAAATTAAAACTTCATGACAAGTTTAACAGTAAACTGTAGGCAGAAGAAAAAAAGGTCAGTAAACTTTAATATGTATTAATAGACATAATTTAATCTAAAGAACAAAGAAAAAAGAACTCCAGGAAAATGGACAGATATTTAAAAAAACAAAGAAAAAACAACAAATAGGTTAACACACATACAATTAGAGAACCAGAAGAAGAAGGTAATAAAAATGGGCCAAAAAAGGAGAAGGAAATAGCGGCTAAAATTCTCCTAAATTTTATGAAAAATGTCTAGTAAGATATAGGAGTTCAGTCAATACTAAACAGGAGAAATAAAAGAAAACTACACTTGGACATGTCAGAGTGAATCTATTAGAAAACAGAAACAAGGAAAACACAGAAGCCAGTTGGGGCGGGGGGGAAGCCACATCACATACAGGGACATCATGATAAGGATGACAGCTGGCTTCTAAACAGAAGCAATGGAGGCAAGAAGAAAATGGAATACATCTTTAAAATGTTGAGATGGGGAAAACAGGTTTAAATATCCAGCAAAACTACTTTTTTAAAAAACGAGAGTGTAACATTTTTAGACAAACAGAAGCTGACATAATTTGTCACTGGAAGACTTGTACTGTATGAAATAATAATATCCATTGGGCCAAAGGAAAATGATACCAAACAGAAAATATCTCCAAGAAGGAATGAAGAACACTGGAAATGATAAATCATTGTATAAATATAAATGATAGGCTTTCTTTTCATTATCTCCTTAAAAGAGAATTAGTGATTTAAAGCAAAAATAATAGTAAGGTGAATTTATAATATAGAGAGAAGTAGGCTGGGTGCGGTGGCTCATGCCTGCAATCCCAGCACTTTGGGAGGCCGAGGTGGGCAGATCACCTGAGGTCAGGAGTCCGAGACCAGCCTGGCCAACATGGTGAAACCCTGTCTCTACTAAAAAAAATACAAAAATTAGCCAGGCGTGCTGGTGCATGCCTGTAGTCCCAGCTACTCGGGAGGCTGAGGCACGAGAATTGCTGAAACCCGGAAGGTGGAGGTTGCAGTGAGCTGGGAGCTTGCCACTGCACTCCAGCCTGGGCAACAGACTGAGACTCAGTCTCAAAAAAAAAAAAAAAAAAAAAAAAAAAAGAGAGAGAGAGAGAGAGAATTAGTGATTTAAAGCAAAAATAATAGTAAGGTGAATTTATAACACAGAGAGAAGTAAAAGATATAACTAAAACAGCACACAGAAGGATAGGCACATGGAATTACACTAGTATGACAGTATTTCACTTGTGAAGTATAAAGGGGAATTTGTGTAATATGAAGTGTCAGGTATGAATTGGAAGGTATGAAATGTAAAGCAGCTGCATATTAACTCTAAGAAAACTTGCTTATAAGTTAAGGAGTATATTTTTAGACCTAATGTAAAAATACAAAAAAAAAGGTATCATTAAAAAGACAATGAAGGAAATAGAATGGAATACTAATAATATTCTGTAAACCAAAATGAAGACAGAATAATGGCAACACAAAAAGAGATGAATGGAAAACAACTACCATAATGGTATGTTAAATTCAACCATAAAAATAATTACATTAGTTGTAAATGGTCTAAATACTTCAACTAAAACACAGAAAAAGCAGGACCCAATTATATGTTTTTTACTATGCATGCACATTATATATAATGATGCCATTATATATAATGGTGAAACTAAGTTGTAACTAAAAGAATGAAAAAAGATATACCATATGAACAGTAAATATAAGAAAGCTGAAATCACTGAAATAATATCAAACAAAAGTGACTTCAAGAAGGATAATATTATTAGATTTATAGAAAGACATTTCATAATGACAAAGGGGACAATTTATCAGTAAAACATAATAATCCTAAATGTGCATGCATGAAGTAATAGTTTCAAAATACACGAAGGAAAGTGAAAAGGCAAAAATTAAAGAAAAAAATAAAACCATGATTAGAGTTGAAGATTTTAACACCTTTCTCTCAGTAACCGAAAATGAAACAGATAAAGATGAATAGGGGTATAGAAAATCTGACCAACACTCAGCCGACTTAAAGCCAATTGACAGAGAGCACTACACTTAATAACTGCAGACAACACAGTTTTTCAAGCATACATGAAACATTCAGCAGCATAGACCACATGCAGGGCTGTAACACAATTCTCCATAAATTTTAAACAATTGAAAACTTAGAAAGTATATCATTTAACCACAATAAAACTGAAATTATAAATCAATAAGACATCTAGAAAACCTGCAAATATTTGAAAGTTAAATAATACATTTGCAAATAATCCATAGAACAAAGAAGAAATCACAAGATAATTGGAAAATATTTTGAACTGGAAGTTACTGAAAATAAAACATTAAAATTTGGGAGGTGGCTGGGCGCAGTGGCTCACTCCTGTAATCCTAGCACTTTGGGAGGCCAAGGTGGGCAGATTACGTGGTCAGGAGTTCAAGACCAGGGTGACCAATATGGTGAAACCCCGTCTCTACCAAAAATACAAAAATTAACCAGGCATGGTGGCGAGCGCCTGTAATCCCAGCTACTTGGGAGGCTGAGGCAGGAGAATCACTTGAAACCAGGAGGCGGAGGTTGCAGTGAGCTGAGATCGCACCACTGCACTCCAGCCTGGGCAACGAGAGTGAAACTCCGTCTCAAAAAAAAAAAAAAAACTGGGGAGGTGAAGTGAAGTAGTGCTTAAAGGCTATATCTATATCTATCTATCTGTAGTTAATTTTTATCTAAAGAAACTAGAGAAAAGCTAACTAAGGCAAGAATTAAATGAAATAATATAAGAACAGAAATCAATTAAATGGAAAATGCAATAGCAATAGAGAAAATAAACAATGTCAAAAATTGGTTCTTTGAGAAAATTATTAAAATTGATAGAATTCTACCAAAACTGATCAAAGAAAAAAGAAAAAAAACACAAATTACCATTTTCAGGAATGAAGAGGGGATGTCACTATAGAATCTTCAGACATTAAAATAATAGAAAGACACCATTACAAAAAACTGTGCAAATATATTTGACAACATACATAAAATAGATGAATTCTTTCAAAATTCCCATAACTGACTCAAAATGAAATAGAAAGCTTTAATAGTCTCTATTAATTGAAGAAATTAAATTTGTAATATAAAACCTTCCTACAAAGAAAACTACAGGCTCAAATAATTTCACTGGTGGAATTGTATCAAACAATTAAGAAATTGTTTATATTCCACAAACTCAGAAAATAGAGGAGAAGATATTTTCTAACTAACAAGACCAATATTACTCCTATACCAAACCAGACAAAGAAATTCAGGAAGATTACAGTTCAGTATGTCTTACACTGATGCAAAAATCCATAAGAAAATTTTAGCATAACAATTCTGAATACACGTAAAAGTTATAATAGATCAGAACCAGGTGGAGTTCTGATGTATTACACAAGATTGGTTTGACAGTAGAAAACTAAATCAACATAATTTACCACCTAAACAGAATAAAAAAAGAAAAGCTTTGAAAGATACCAAAAGATGCAGAAAAATTCAACACCTATCCAGGATAAAAACTCAGCAAGTATGCCCAGAAGGGAACTCCACAAACTGATGAATGGCATCTATGGAAAATCCAAAGCTAACATCATACTTAAGTGGTAAAGGACTAAACGCTTTCCTGTCAAGATTAAGAAAAAGGCCAACATTCCAACCTCACCCTTTCTGTTCAAGAATGCACAGAAAGTTCTAGCCATCACAGCAATACACATACACAGAGAAAGAGGGACAGAGAGAGAGAAGGGAAAAAATAAAACTTATTTAACTTATTCACAGTTATTGTCATCTATGTAGTATATACTAAAGGATTTATTTAAGTCATTAGAACTAATAACTGAGTTAAACAAGACTGCAGAATACAAGATATGTATACAAAAATCCATTTATGTTGCATATATCAGCCAAACAACCAGAAAGTAAAATTTTAAAATAGCATATATAATATGGCATGTCATTTTATAATAGCATAAAAACACGAAACACTTGATAACAAGTTTAATAGAAACATGCACAAACTCTACACTGAAAACTTTATTGCTGAAGGAAATGAAGGAAGATCTGAATAAATGGAGAGGTAAAATATGTTCATGGATTGGAAGGCTGAATTTAAGATGACCTTTATCCCCAAATTGGTCTGTAAATTCAATGCAATCTCAATCAAATTCTCAAGTTTTTTTATATATTGAAAAGCTGATTCTAAAATGAATATGGAGACACAAAAAATCTAGGATAGCCCAAACAATTTTGAAAAATAAGTACCAATCTAGAGGTTTTATACTTCCAGATTTTAATATACAATATGAAATTATGTAACATTAAGTAATATAATGTTCTATTGTTAAAGGGGTAAATATGTACAGCAGTGTGATGAAATAGAGATTCCAGAAGCAGACCTACACATGAACACAGGCAGGTGATTTTCAACAAAAATGCAAAAGCAATTCAGTGGGAGTGGGGGTGAAGGAGAATCTTTTCAATAAATGGTGCTTGAACAATTAAATACCATTTGCTAAACACACTTGGACACATAACTCACACCATATAGAAAAATTGATGCAAAATGGATCATAGAACACGTATAAAATCTCAAACTATAAAACTTCTAGAAGGAGCCGGGTGCGGTGGCTCACGCCTGTAATTCCAGCACTTTGGGAAGACGAGGCGGGCGGATCACAAGGTCAGGATATCGAGACCATCTTGGCTAACACGGTGAAACCCGTCTCTACTAAAAATACAAAAAATTACCTGGGCATGGTGGCGGGCGCCTGCAGTCCCAGCTACTCGGGAGGCTGAGGCAAGAGAATGGCGTGAACCCGGGAGTCGGAGCTTGCAGTGAGCCGAGATCGCACCACCGGACTCCAGCCTGGGCGACAGAGTGAGACTCCGTCTCAAAAAAAAAACAACTTCTAGAAGGATGCACGTGGGAGATCCTGATAACTTCGGTAGTGAAATATTTCTCAGACAAGATACAAAATGCACTAACCATAAAAGGGATAAAAGGATATATTGAACTTCTGTTCTTCAAAGGATACCATAAGGAAAAGAAAAGTTTAGCCACACACTGGAAGAAAATACTTGCAATACATTTATCTGGCAAAGGACGTATTTGTATGCAGAATATACAACATATGACTCATTAATAAGAAACAAACAAAAATGAACCATATGGTTTTAATGAACACCTCACAAAAGAAAATAAATGAATTGTCAAAAAGCACGTGAAAAGGACTCAGCACTATTAGTCATCAGGGAAATGCAAAATAAAACCATCAGATACTGCTATGCAACTGCCAGTGGCTAAAAATGAAAAGATTGGCAATATTAAGGATTGGGAAAGATGGAGAAAAGAACTGCTGCAAGGCAGGCAAGCCCCCATATTGGGACTCCACCCAGGAAGGTTTTGGGCTTTGGCCAGGAAAGAATTCAAGGGTGAGCTGGTGGTAGAAAAAATCAGCTTCACTGAGGTATCAGTGTTCCAGCTCCGTGACTGCTCCTGCAGAGCAGGGCTACCCCATAGGCAACGTGTTGAGGGTAGCAGCTTGGCGCAGTTGTGCAGTCATATTTACACCCACATGCAAATTAAGGGGTGAGTTATTTGGAAATGTCTAGAAAAAGGATGGTAACTTCTGGGTGTTGTCATGGCAATGGCACACTGTCATGGCGCTGTTGGGCATGTCTTATGCAGAGGTGCTTCTGTCTCTTCCCTGTTTTAGCCAGTCTTCCATCTGGTCTGGTGTGGAGCCCCAACTCCTATTTCAGAATTGTCAATCATATAGGTGGGAATATAAAATGGCATAACCACTTTGGAAAACAATTTGGCACTTTCTTATAAAGTTAAACATATCATTACCATATGAGACCCAGAAGTTCTACTCCTAGGTATTTTACGCAAGAGAATGAATACGTCCACAAAAAACCTGCAAGTCAATGTTCATGGTAGCTTTTTTTGTAATAGCTAAAAACTGGGAAAAAAAAGCTCAACTATCTAACAACAGGTGAACAGATAATCAAATTATGATATATCGATGCAATGGAAGGCTAGTCAGCAATAGAAAGAAAAAAACACATGAATACAGCAACATGAAAAATTTCCAGACACATTATGCCAAATGAAAGAAGCCAAGCCGGGTGCGGTGGCTCACGCCTGTAATCCCAGCACTTTGGGAGGCCAATTTGGGCAGATCAAGAAGTCAGGAGTTCAAGACCAGCCTGGTCAACATGATGAAAACCTGTCTCTACTAAAAATACAAAAAATTAGCCGGGCATGGTGGCGCGCACCTGTAATCCCAGCTACTGGGCAGGCTGAGGCAAGAGAATCGCTTGAACCTGGGAGGCGGAGGTAGCAGTGAGCTGAGATCGCGCCACTGCACTCCAGCCTGGGTGACAGAGAGACTCCGTCTCAAAAAAAAAAGAAGCCAGACACAAAAGAATACATACTATGTATTCCTGTTCACAGCTGCCTTTTGCACAGTTAAAACTATTCTATATTGGTAGAAACCAGGTGTGTGTTTGCTGACATAGAGGTTGTTGAGGAAACTAATAAAAGGAACACGAGGATCCCTTCTGGAGGGACAGAAGTATTCGATAGCTTGAATGGAGAGGTAGTTAAATGGGTGTACACAATTCTGAAAATTATGGATAAATTTACTGAAATTACAGGGAAAAATCCATATTATGTTAAAAGCTTGAAAGTTCTGTGCACAGACAGGTTGCACTCTCTAGAGAAAGTCCAATAAATAATTCAGATATCTAATAAAGAATACATAAAATTGAAATAGAGAAATAAAACATCATATTTGAAGGGACCCCTGCTACACGTATTAAACAATAGGATATTTAATCTTAAAACCTGATGGTAGTTTTATGAGATTCAAATTTCATAGAGAGAAAAATTACTATTCTCTGAACTTAATGCATCTATTTCTTGAAAGATTAAAAACCCCTCTTAACTATCACTGAACTCTATAGATGTTTACATTTCTTCCCTTGACAATATAAATGGCTCCTTCTAGAATAATAGTAATACTGAAAAATATCAATACTAAGTTTTGGTTTCCTCTTGTGATTTTCAACAAAGCACAAATGATTAAATTAGAATGTGTTTCCATACAAGGATATTTATGTGTTGGCATGATGCTTATTATTACATCAATACAAAATGCAAAGATAAAAATGTATCTATGCCTTTTATTTTATCTTGTATTGCCAAAGGAAAATTCATATCCAATATCAGTTTAGCCTTTTATTATGGTCTAAGAACATTTACAAAGAAATGAAAAATGAAAGTACATTTTTCCTATCCCCTAAATTCAACTGAACTAGCAATGGAAAAGCACATCTCTGAGGATCAAAGACAACTGTTGGCAAAACTCACATATTTTTCTCTCTGACCAACCTCAAAAAAAAAAAATGTAAAGAAAGAAATGAAAAAACATACAAATGCCTTCTGTGGACCATTACAAAAATCACAAAACTAGACTTTTCTAAAACTCACAATGTATCTTTGCCTTCACTAAACATTTTCAAATAAGTTTTTGTAACACAGGACTTGGCTCATTATCAAAGGGGAAAATGAGAAACATCTATAACCTTCCAAACCACAAAGCAACAATGATATCAGTCCCATAAAATTTGAGCCACAGAAATAGGATAAGCTGATCCTCTGGAGAGAGGAATGCATCTCATAGGGAGACTCTAGATTATGGGGAACTGCTCCAGCTCCTTCCTGCTTTGCATTATGGGATGATTTATGTGACTATCCAATTACATTGAGGCTCAATCTTTAGGCTATGCTTTCTGAAATCACTTATGAAATGTTTGGTTTCTGAATGAATCCATATGACCTCTGATATTCTAGGAATGTGCTAAATAAACAGCTAACCCAGGAGCCATCATCTGCTTCCACAGACATATTTGGTTTAGCATCCTTCAAAGTGAAGACCCAAGGGAAGATATAATTACAGGTTCAGTTTCTCCCTTAAGAAAGAAGAAGCCTTCTCAATCAAACTCAACATTTTGCTACAATTTTCTGCTAGGCGGTCATGGTCATTGCTTTTTCTTTTCCCTCTCAGATGACCAGTGCAGATTCATATAGAAATAAGCAAAGTAGCTATTGTAAAATTGTCCTTGGATATTGAGAATCATATTTTATATCTGGCAAAGTCATGGTCCTTTACAACTCTAATGTAATTTTCACATTGAATGTCTCATTTTGTCTTCCTCAACTTTGCAAAACAGCCAGGCATTATCACCACACTTTTTAGAGAGGTGTAGATGAGAGATCTCAGGTTCCTGGAGATTAAATTCTAAAAGACACTTAACTTCAGACATGGCCAAGATAAAATATGAACCCAAGTTCCCTCTTTCCAAATCCTATTCTCTTTAACAATCCCTGGTTTTTCTTTTCTTTTTCTTTTTTTTTTCATGGAGTTTCGCTCTTGTTGCCCAGGCTGGAGTGCAGTGGTGCGATTTTCTCTCACCGCAACCTCCGCCTCCCAGGTTCAAGCAATTCTCCTGCCTCAGCCTCCCAAGTGGCTGGGATTACAGGCATGAGCCACCACGCCTGGCTAATTTTGTATTTTTAGTAGAAACTGGGTTTCTCCATGTTGGTCAGGCTGGTCTCGAACTCCCGATCTCAGGTGATCCGACTGCCTCAGCCTCCCAAAGTGCTGGGATTACAGGCATAAGCCACCCTGCCTGGCCACAATCCCTGGTTTTTCTACACAGGAAATGTCAATTTAAGGATGAAGACAAGTAGGGAACTCAGAATATCATGATTAAGCATTTTGTTGCATTTTTATTCTAAGGAGTAAGAAATATAACAAACAAGATAAACGAACTGAGCAGAGAAGTGCTGGGACACCTGTACATACAAAATTATGAGAAAACACTAGCCAGTAAGAAAGTAAATCTTTAAAAGACGAATCGACTTACTACAACACCTTTTCCAGAGGGAAAATATCTGAATCTCTCATAGCAAAGAATACAGAATTCAAGGTCGATAGAAATAATCAGAGAGGCTTGTGAGTTGTCCAAAGTATTCCAAATTATGGCTGGGTGCGGTGGCTCATGCCTGTAATAACAGCACTTTGGGAGGCTGAGGCGGGGGGATCACCTGAGGTCAGGAGTTCAGGACCAGCCTGACCAACACGGTGAAACCCTGTCTCTACTAAAAATACAAAATTAGCCAGGCATGGTGACCATGCCTGTAATCCCAGCTACTTGGGAGGCTGAGGCAGGAGAATCACTTGAACCTAGGAGGCAGAGGTTGCAGTGAGCTGAGATATTGCCATTGCACTCCAGCCTGGGCAACAAGAGTGAAACTCCATCTCAAAAAACAAACCAACAAACAACAAAAACAACAACAAAAAAAACCCAAAAACAAACAAACAAAAGTATTCCTAATTAGTATCAAGGCTGAGAGTAGGACCAAGACTTCTGACCTCCCTACAGCATCCCCTTTCCCTGTGTCATGAATAGTACTTTCCATCATGAGCAGTTACAGTCCAATCCACTATTGTATCTCCCTTGTAATTCTACAGCAATTCACATGCTAAGGCTTGACTTTCAGAGTCCTTGATAAACTACAAAGTTTCATTAGAACCCCTTGAATTGCTTGGCGAACAAGCACCCTAGACCTATTTTAATCAGAATTTCTGGGTGGGGCCCAGATGCCTGAATTTATAGCAAGAAAATCCCCCATCTCAAATTCCTTATGAACACTAGAATTTGAGAACACTACACTCCCAAACTGAAGTTTTAAAATAGAAACAGAACTCTCTTTACCCGTTTAGTGTAAAGAAGGCCTCTTTGGGCATGTTTGTCATCATTTCTTAACTTTGCACTGCTAGATGCCTCTTCTGAGCTCATTCCAGGATCACTGATAAAAAACAGCACTAACCACCCACTGATGAGTAGGTGGGAACCCTGCCCTGGGAAGGAGGGAGGCCAAGAAAGCCCAGTAGGGCTCATCTCTAATCCTGTGTTGTTGTTGTTGGGATCATCCTTGGCCATTTCCCTGGACAATTGTGAAGGTTTTCGCTTTGCAGGAAATATGAAAAATCCACCACAGTTTGATGATAGCCCTGAATTAAATGTTACTAGCTGTTATATGCAGTTCATTTAGAGCGTTTCTAAGAGCTAACCTAGACATGGCAAAAGCAATGGATTCTAAGACGGGACTCAGTTGTTTAGTCTGACTTTCAAACCAATCAGCTATGTATTCTTGGGAGGATAAATTCAACATCCTAGACTTCTATCTCCCTCATTTAAAAATTAAGGTAACTGGAATAGATTTGTGCTTCAAACTTTCTTGACATACCCTAAAAAATACATTTACGTTAGCCACCCATGCGCGGAGATACTACAAACAGTTCTCATGAAGCGGCACCTTACTTTGTATGATAAACTCTGATACTTTCTCTCCTATTCCTTTCTATCCTACTCCATACTTTTAGCAATCACAAGTAGCAACCGAATAAATTAATTTCATGACTCACGAATGAGTCATGAATTGCAGTTTGAAAAGCACTGGACTAGATGTTACATAGGTTTTCCTCTAATATTAAAGTTGAAAATGAATCCGGTACATTTATCTGTCCCTGTTTATACTTTTAAAGTTCCCTCTTAGCAGGATTATATATTAATGTATATGCAATACATGTTAATAGAATATAAAATTTTACTTTAAATTGATAACATTAGTCAATTATAGTCTCTCAGGATTCAAATATTTTGTAGTTTGAATGAGCAAAATCTAATACGTTAAATTAAAGCTTAGTCTTGTAGTTTCTAAGAACTTCGTAAGAGTTTTAACCTGTTAAACCTGTACTTGTTAGTTCTTTTCTTTCTGTTTTCCCAGGCACATCTGGATAAAGGCAGAAACAAAGTAACAAGGGAGGAAGTCCCAGTAATCACAAGAAACCAATCTTTTTTCTCCCAAACACATATTTTGGGGCTGACATCATAGCCACATGGCACAAACTACAGATGGAAAAGTATCTGAACTCAAATCCGGAAACTTAACCTTTATCAGATGAAGACAAGAAAGACTTCAGCAGGCAAACTCACACCTGTTGGGCTGAGGAGCTAGAAATCAACAACCAAATACCAACATTACTGCTCTGGAAATAACTTCTGTTAGAACAATAAAGTAAGATGAGGGCAAATGACTGAGCTTCCCTTGATGCTTTTCCCTGATGCTATTTTATTCTGCAGAAAATATCCAACATACGATGACACCTGAAAAGAATGAGTCCTAGCATCTCTGTGTTTCCACACCAGCAGCTCACTCTGACTCTGGCTGCCTTCTAGGTCTAGCCACTGCCTTAAAGTACTAGCCCACCACCTGGTGTCACCAGCCCAACACCAGCTCAGTCTCCTGACACCAGCCCTTCCCTAAAAAATGCTGCAGGACCCCCCCTCAGCAATGCATGAGAGCCGATCTCTCAGGTCTTGATCTATGGGAAACTGTGACAGGCTCCAGAATTATAAACAGAAGGTGTGTTGTGTCTTCCTGGATCTCGTCATCTGATTGCTATTTAGAATGGCTTGACTGTGTTAGTCAGACCTATGAGTTCATCCAACAACAAGCGGGCACAGTGACCAGCCGGGCTCAGCCCAGGGACAGAAAGCAAACACTCCCTCGTCTGTGATTTCAGCCTTATGCAGACCAAATAGAGGCCAAAGTAATGATTATCACACAGGGAAGCCAGCTGGAGAATCTTTTGAGTTTCTATGAAAACATCGTCTCCCCTTCACTTTTATTGCTTGCTTTTTCTTCTCTCTTTCTTTATAGTTTCCTTTCCTGTCCAGTTTGCTTCTATCTCTTTTCCTGACTCATTTTTATTTTACGTGTATCTTATCTTTCTGAAAACTTTTAGAATTAAAATCTAATATCCTCCCTGCCCAATTATTTTAACTGCTCTGGGTTCTTTCTGCACAAAATATTGCCTTACAAGCTAGGATGGTAATAGAATTGTTTTACAAAGGTATGTCTTACTTTGCATATCATTACAAAGATTTCCACATTTTCAGGAGGCCCTGCCTGTATTATATGTTATCTAAGATACAGCCAGTTTATTCATGCACCAAATTAAAATTATGTTCATAGATGATTAAAGCCAGAAGTCATCTCTCGAAGATTACCAAATCCAATTCCTTAATTTTACAGATGAGAAAACTGTGGCCTAGAGAGTTCAAGTGACTTGCTCCAAATCCTGATCTAATATTCAGTGTGCTTTGGGGCCAAACATACCAGACAGATAAAACTACAACAGCATGAAAAATTGTGTGCACCCTATAATTTCTTAAGAAACCAATTTTGGTCACTGGATGTTAACCACCTGAATGAAGTCCAGTGAATACGTCAATCACACACCATAGCCTATTGTAACTGCCAGGGATTCCATTTCGCATGTGCTTGCACTTGAGCTGGATAATGAACTGCTCCTGCAGAGGTTCCTACCTGGGAGAAAAGTATTGATTGATTCTCTCACACTCAGGATTCTGGAGCAAATCTAAAGCCATGCTTTTGAACATAGAACTTGAACTGCTGCAGAGTTTTGCCTGAAATGAAGAGTAGTGGCCAGCCCCTCTGAAGGAGAAATAAATGGGAAATTGGGTAAGATTTTGAGTGGGAGATGTTTAAACTTTTATTTATTTTAGGGAGTGGGGACTTTAAAAGATAAGCATCTGGGGTTCTCAGGATGCCAGAGTGTGTCACAGGGTGCATGTCCCAACATAGGAAAAGCTACCAGTTCTTTCTGGAGGGAGCTCAGTGAATTGTACCATGCTGCTGGGGTAATCCCAAAGCGGAGAAATGCTTGGAAGCATGGTCACCATATGCCTACTATGGGTCTATGCTGGATGTTATTTGGGTCCTTTAATACAATGATGCAAAAGGAAAGCTCAGAGTCTCTAAAAAACAACACATCCTAGGGAAACATGAGCCTAACGAAATATGACTCCTTCATCAATCCCATGCACAGGCTCTTGGGGCTGGGAGCATCTCTGGTTCACATCTTACCTCAAAGACTGTGCCTGCAAAAGGGATTTGTTTCCTATACTTCATTTGCAAAGGGCATAGTAATAATGAGAAATTAAGTAATAGGAAAAATACAATGAAAGGAATAAATGCTGAAAAGTTTAACTTCATTAGGTCAAATTGAGAAATGCATATTTTGCCAAGAAATCTTCCATTCCTTTCCCTGGAATTTCATGCGGTAGTCTCTAATTTTTATACATTGTTATTCTGTTTCTAATTTCTTAACATAAGTATTCAGTCTCTTTGGTAACTTTTCATTCTGATAGAATTTTAAAAGATGCAAGAATGAGCTCCTGAATTCTTTTTACCCAGATTTATTATGTATTTGTATTCTGCTCCCATTACTTTATCATTTCTCTCTCTCTCTCCCCCCCCCCCCACACACACATGCACAGACACACAAATATTCACACTTATTATCTCAGCCAATTCAGAGTACTTTGGAGACATTATATTTCTTTACCGTCTGAAAACTTCAGTGTATTGTTCCTAAGGGAAGAAAAAACGTTCTTTTAACAAAACCACAGTACAATTACCAACATTAGAAGATTTAATATTGACACAATATTCTTATCTAGTCACTACTTTTAATAAGGAAGGTATTTAAGTCACTACCCTTTATTCTAAATATAGCTCTCATTGTGTGCCACAGGTTTGCGGATGATGTATTCTCATTGTGTTTTAGCTATTAGCACTGTTTTGCAATGGAGTCAATAAAACCGAGTATGCAATGCTGTTTTGTTACCTGTTGCTGCACTGATTGCTTCATAGTTTATTAAGAAGCCTTCATAAGCGAGGTCGGAGTCAGTCACAAACACCAGCATCAATGAGTTACCACTGCTTGTGAGAGATGGCGGGATCGACTTTCCACAGTATCTATTCCAAACCAAGAAAGGACAGATGTGTGTATTTTAGTTTGGTATACTGAAAATGATGTAACAAAAATTTGGACATGTAAATATAATAATAGGTTTTGTTCTCTACCTCTCATCAACCTTAAAACACAAATATATTTCAGGCAAAAAAGATTTGCAAACTTACGAAAGATTGTCCCGTTCATGATTATATCCCTGAAATGGTTTTAGGTATGTGACTGGCTATGTGAGTTGTCATGTATGAGAAGTTTAATAAAAGCTACACTAGATTGCCATATAGCATATTAATACACTTTTTAATAGAAATGTAATAAACTTATACAACAAAGGGAAACAATATATCATAAAATCATAGAGTCATCTCTCTAATCTAAACTCATAGATCACTCAATCCCTGTGCCTTGCCTTCCTCATCCCTAAAATGGGAATGATGACAGTACCTACTTCATAGAGTTGTTTTGAGAATGTGATGAGTTAATACCCTGTATATAAAGCACTTAGAACAGTGCCTACAATCGTAACCCCTATAGAGGGAATCTATTGTCCTTAAACAGCTCACTTATAAAGAGATAAGAGTGATGATTCAGCCATGCCATGTTTCTGCTGAACAAAAGCAGTTTAGCTCAGAAAAACTATTCTATTAATGTTAAAAAGAGAGTTGTGATAAAAGACAGAATGCCATGAGCTTTTATCTGGAGAAATACCTGTAGGAAGAAGTGACAATAAAATAGGAATCTCAAATCAAAGCACACTTGGTAAAATTAACCAAAAGAAATGATAAAGAAAACAAATATAGAAACCAAAAAGAGAGGAAATGTTGAGTACGGGAAATGGATACGTCAATTGCTAAAGGAGAAAAAGAAAGAAAATTTGGTGTATAATACCATTGCAGTGTGAAAAAAAATTTAATATCTTCATCAAAATAAAGGTAGGTGAACTAATTGATATTTTAAATGCCTTCGTATATGCCCATGTATATGAAATTTGGGGAAGATCATTATAGTTTATGCCATTCAGCAAACGTTCTGTATTTTGCAGTGGTGATGTGTTAAGTACCTTCCCAAAAAAGAAAAAGAAGAAAGTTAAAAAGATGAAAGATTAGGATAAGAAGGATATTTAAAACATGAATGAGAAATAAAGAAAATAAAATGCAAGATAAAGACATTTTAAAATATCAAAAGATTTCCATTTCCAACAGAAATGTAATAACAGGCTAGATTTAACTTTGCACCTGAAACAACAAAAATCCTGGACAAAAACGTATAAAACAATGGCTCTCAAAACACTGGATATCAAGCAATGTAGGACAACAAACCTTCAGAGACAGGAAACAAATGAGTTTAAAGGCAAAACTGAAATGGATCAACCTGTTTCCAAGTAGCTTAACTGCTTTCCAGAACAACGCTCATGAATACTTACAGGAATATGACAATGTCCAGCAGCCAAAAACATAAAATTGAAAATGTCTGGTATCCCACTGAATATTACCCAGACATGAAAAGACGTGGGAAAGTATAACTCAGAAAGAGAGGAAAAATCAATCTATAAAACCATAGCAGGAAACAATCCAAATGTCTGAATTAGTAGATAAAGTCATTAAAATAGCTACAACTATATCTCACAGATTTTTTAAGCTAGAGAAAAAAAATTCATGTGTAAAGTAGAGACATGGACTACATATAAAATGACTCAAATTGAACTTCTAAAATGAAAACTACAATATCTAAGATGAAAAATACACTTGGTAAAGTTAATAGCAGATTAGACATTGCATAAGAAAAGATGAGTGAACTTGAATATATAGTAATAGGAACTTTCCAAAGTAAAACACACAGAGAACAGAGGCTTGAAATCAAACAGACTATCAAGAGAGTTGTAGAACAATTTCAAGTGCCTAATATACATGAAATCAGAGTCCCTAATGGGGAGGAAAGACAGAAAAATATTTTAAGAACCAGTGGCCAAGAATGTTTCAATTTGATAAAACTACAAATCTTCGGATCCAAGAAGCTCAACAAAAATTATGCTAATTGAGGAAAGTCAGAAAAACATTCAGTACGTATAGTATGATTCCATTTAGATGATATGCAAACGAATCTACAGAGATAGAAAGTAGATTTGTGGTTTCCTGTGGGTGGGGGTGAGGAACAAAAGCAAGGAATTATAACGGAAAGGAAGAAAGTTTTGTGGGTAGTGGATATATGCATTATTTTAATTTTGGTTTTGACTTCATGAATATATACAGATGTCAAAACTTAATGCCTACAAGGCCACAACTACAGAGTAGTTATGTAGAAATGGTCATTAAGAAGCATGAGGATCTCACCTGGTTTTCATAACACAACGTGGTCAATTTTAAGATCCTTCACTGAAGCAGGAAATCAGTGAAGTTTTATTGTTAAACAAACAAACAAACATAACCTTACCTTCCAAGGGATGTCTCAGAGTCGGTGTCATAAACTTCCAAGTAGTCGTTTGTGCAATTGTAATGAAACTCCAGATGAAATGTTTCGAACATTAAATGAATCAGGTGATTAGGTTGGACTAATATATGCCAAGTACAGTTGATACCGTGGGGGTAGACATTTGGATGGCCAGGACTTTGAATGGTCCCTGTTGATTCTGTAAGAATTTCTCCACATGCTGTTGAAATAAAAATTATAATTACTGCAGCAAGTAACCAAGCTACCTGGATTTCAAATTAAAAGGCTCTGATAATAACCTCTTCAAAGATTAAAAGGAAAAATGTTTCTTAGTTGCCACTTAAGATAACCTGATTTTTCTCTTATTAATAAGTAACAATTAACTTTTGATATAAATGTTGATTAGAAAATATACATTCTTTGTCTTTGAGTGTACTTTAAAATTTTTCACAGTACAGATGATTTTCATATAATTTATTTCTATCATTCACTTATTCTGATACAAGCCCAAGAGGAGGAAAAAAAAAAGGGAACAGTCTCTTACCCAAATCCTCAGCACTGAACTTAGCCATGAAACCATGGTTTTCAGTAGAAGAACTTTTCACGAATGTGACATAAAGAAAATTGTACACAGATGTTATAAATGAAGGTATGTCTGTACCGCAATACTTTTTATTTTCAGGAGAACCCAAAATGGAACTGCTACCAATCTAAAATTAGAGAAGATATGTTCAAATATGTTGTATATCAATTTTGAAAACTGCTTCAAGAATAATTATTTCTGAAATGTTTTTAATGGAGTACAAATCAATTTGAGAATACAATCAATTTTAGCACATTTTAGTCACCCCCCAAAAAACACTCATATCCTTTAGCAGTCACTCCTCATTCCCCTGAAACCACAGCCCCAGGCAGCCACTAATCTACTTTCTGTCTCTGTAGATTGCCCATTTTGGACATTTCAAACAAAATGGGATTATACAATATGGGGTCTTTTGTGATTAGCTTCTTTCACACTGTATAACATTTTCAAAGTTCATCCACGTTGTAGCATGGATCATTATTTCATTCTTTTTTAATGCCTTGTAATATTCCACTGTAAAGATATACCACATTTTATTTATCCGTTTACCAGTTGATGGACACTTAAGTTGTTTCTACTTTTAAAATTAAAAATAATGATTGCATTTTGCTATTTGTATATGTTATTATAGATGATGACTGTAGATATATTCACATACAAATTTTTGTGTGGACATATATTTTCATTCCCCTTGAGAATATATCTAAAAGTAGAATTGCTGGATCAGATAGTATCTCTATGTTTAACTTTTTGAGGAACTGCCAACTGTTTTTCAAGGTGGCTGTACCAGTTTACATCTCCACCAGGAGTGTATAAAGGTTCCAATTTCTCCACATCCTTGTCCACACCATTATCTGACTCTTTTTATTATAGCTATCCTATGGGTGTGTCCTTTTGTTTTTGGCATTTCTTTTTTTTGATACAGGGTCTCACTCTGTTACCCAGGCTAGGGTGCAATGGCACAATCATAGCTCACTGCAGCCTCTACCTCCCAGGCTCAAGTGATCCTCCTACCACAGCCTTCTGAGTAGCTGAGGCTACAGGCGTGTATTACCACACTCAGCTATTTTTAAAATTTTTTGTAGAGATGGGGTCTCACTATGTTGCCCAGGCTGGTCTCGAACTCCTGAGCTCAAGTAATTCATCCACCTTGACCTCTTAAAGTGCTGGGATGAGGTGTGAGCCACTGTGCTCAGCCTCCTTTGCCCATTTTAAAAATCAAGTTATTCGTTTTTAATTTTGAGGAAGTTATTTTTCTTTTTTCTTTTTTTGTTTGTACTTTTTGTGTCATATTTAAGAAGGCTTTGCCTAAACTGAAGGGCATAGAGACTACTCCTAGGTTTCTCCTAAGAGTTTCATGGTTTTAGCTCTGACATTTAGGTCTATAATCCATTTTTAGTTAATTTTTGTGTATGCTATAAGGAAGGGGTCCAGCACCATAATTTTGCATGTGGCTATTGAGCACCATTTGTTGAAAAAATGATTTTTCTCCATTGATATGTTTTGGCATCATTTTCATATATCAATTGGCCATAAAAGTATGTGTTCACTTCTGGACTTGCAATTGTGTTCCATAGATCTATATTTATATCCTTACTTCAATAAGATACTGTCTTGATTATTGTAGCTTTGTTCTAAGTTTTGAAATCAGGAAGTGTGAGTCCTTCAACTTTGTAATTTTTCAAGAACATTTTGGTTATTCTGGTTCCCTTGCATATTCATATGAATTTTACGATCAGCTTATGTATTTTTTTAAAAGAGCCCGCTGTGATTTTTATGGGGATTGAATTGAATCTTTAGCTCACTTTAGGGAGTATTGCCATCTTAACAATATTGTCTTCTAATCCATGAACATTAAATGTCTTTCCATTTATTTAGGTCTTTTTAAATTTCTTTCAAGGACGTTTTATAGTCTCAGAGGACAAGTTTTACACTTATTTTTAAAACTGTATTCCTTCATGTTTATTATTTTTTAATGCTATTGTAAATGGAATTGTTTCCTTGATTTCATTTTCAAATTGTTCATTGCTGGTGTATAGAAAAAGAAAGATTTCTATATTTTGATCTCATAACCCACAACTTGCTGAATGGATTAGTTCTAATAGTTTTTTATGTGTGTGGATTCCTTATGATTTCCTATATACAAGGTCATGTTATCTGTGAATAGAGAGAATTTTACTCGTTCCCTTTCATTCTGGATGCATTTTATCTCTTCTCCTTACTTAATTGCTCTAGCTAGAATTTCCAGTGTAATGCTGAATAGAAGTAGTGAGAACAGACGTTCTTGTCTTTTTGTGACCATAGGGGCAAAGCATTTAGTGTTTCATAATTAAATATGATGTTAGATGTGAGTTTTTAAATGAATGTCCATTATGAGATTAAGGAAGGTTCCTTCTACTCCTAGTTTGTTGAGTGTTTCATCATGAAAGGATGTTGAATTTTGTCAAATCCAGCAAAATCCAGATCTCACATCTATTGAGGTGATCATGGAGTTTTTGTTCTTTATTTTATTGGTACCATGTATCACATTAACTGATTCTGGGGTTTTATATCAACCTAGAATTCTCGGGACAAATCTCACTTAATCATGGTATATAAATCCTCTTTTTGTGCTAGATTCACTGAACCAGTATTTTGCTGAGGATTTTTACATATGTATCCATAAGACATATTGGTCTACATAAACTACTTTCATTTCCTATAACAGATTTGAAGACAACAACCCATAATATTTTTTATAATATACAACCAAATACAAATTCAAAGATTTTTTCCCTCTTACCTCAACATAATCTGTTTCACAGTGGGCAGAACTTCCAATTTCAAAGACAGTGAAGTTGAGGAGAATGACTTGGCTTTGGGGCTGGTGGATGGTCCACCTACAGGTTCTTTCTCCAGGATACACGTTAGGAAAAAAAGGCGAGCGAATGACCCCTTCTCCAGTTAATTCATCCCCGCAAGCTGTAAGCATAAAAATTATAGTAGTGCTTGTCCAGATATTAATAATTTTATCTCAATTTTATTGCAAAATCTAATACTGCCTGAGGAGATAACCGAATATAACATTTCTATGAGAATATTTTCCACTTAACACTTGAGGACATAAAATGACTAAATTATTTTGAAGAATTAAAATATTACAATCAGGCAAATTAGACATTTAAAAATTATATGTTTCCTTACCGACTTGATAAACAGCTCTGAAACTAGCTTTTTCAACAGAAGCATCTATTTTAAACCTGATCCAGACACTATTAGTAATGGATTTAATGTGAGAGATGGTTCCGTTGCCACAGACTTTTCCAAGTAAGGTTTCACCATCTCGAACCTAAAGAGAAAAATAAAATAGAGATGTAATTCAAATAAAGAAACTTACGTCGGCAATGGTGGCGTTACTTGGAGATGAAAAAATGGCAGATTCAAAATGAATGATAATCCAATTTGAGTTACATATTTCTATTATTTTCTAAAGCAGTAGGTCATTTTTAAGCACAATGCAATAACATGAAATGCTGATAAAATCCTAAGCCAATAAAGTCCAAAAGCACAAGAATTTAAAGAATGTTCTCCTAATAATTTTCACAATGTCAAAGAGGAAATAAATTCACAATTTAGACTACTTGGAAAACAATAAAAAATGAGAATATTACCTATGAAAAAATACACGTGTTAGCCAAATCTGCAATCAAAGAAAGTTATGGACTAAACTACTTTTGCCATTGAAAGAAAAAAGGAAAAAAAAGAAAAGTTGATGAAAGAGAGAGAAAGTAAAAGAATGTAAGGAGTCAACTTAAAAACTTAGAAAGAAGGCCAGGGACAGTGGCACACACCTATTATCTGAGCACCTTGGGAGGCCAAGGTGAGAGGAATTGGAGACAGCCTAGGCAACACAGTGAGACCCAGCTCTATGTACAATTTTTTTAAGTTAGAAAAAAATCCTTAAAATGAGGAAGAATACAGTAAAAAGAAGAGCAAAACTTAATAAATGAAATACAAAATCATGTGGTATTCATAAATACATTCAAGAACTGTTTTTTTGAGGAAGGTTATGGGTGGGGATATAAAAGACAAATCTCTGGCAAGTCTAAAAAGAAAATAAATATATAAGCACAAATATACAAAATTGAAAATGACAAAGACACAGATACTAAGATTTTTTTAAATGTGAAATCTATGTACAACTCTATGAATGTTTTTAATGGGTTATTTTCAGAAAAAGTATAACATTAAAATTATCTGAAGGAGAAGAAAAATAAGATTTGAACAGACATAAGTCATAAATAAAATTGAAAACATTATCAAATAATTATTCCCATCCCACCCTCAACCCCCAAAAAGAAAAATCTCCCATAAGATGCTCTACTTAGTACATTCTTTAAAACTTTTAAGGAAGAGATAATTCCCATGTATAATTTATTCTAAGCCATCCTCAAACATAGAATAATTTCCAAATAATTTTTGTTAGAACGCTGTTACCAAATCCCAACATAGATTATAGAAATAAAAACTATAGACTGATGTCACCTATTAATATAGATACACAAATCCTAAACACAGTTCTAGAAAAATAAATTCACAGTCCATTGCCAGCTTATATACCAGATCAAATATGGGAATAATAATAGTGCAAGAAAGGTTAGAAATTATAAACTATAAATTAACTTCCTCAGTACATCAGATAAGATAAGCCATATGATAACTCCATAAATTCAAAAAACATTGTTAGCATTCCTGTTTTATTAGAAAAAAAAGGAATTTCCTTCATATAATAGACTACTGATTTTAAATCAATAACCAGCTCTTTTTTTTTTTTTTTTTTTGAGATGGAGTTTCGCTCTTGTCACCCAGGCTGGAGTGCAATGGCGTGATCTCAGTTCACCGCAACCTCTGCCTCCTGGGTTCAAGTGATTCTCCTGCCTCAGCCTCCCAAGTAGCTGGGATTACAGGCATGTGCCACCACGCCCAGCTAGTTTTGTATTTTTAGTAGAGACGGGGTTTCTTTATGTTGGTCAGGCTGGTCTCAAACTCCCAATCTCAGGTGATCCACCCACCTCGGACTCCCAAAGTGCTGGGATTACACGCGTGAGCCACTGCGCCCGGCCAAATAGCCAGCTCTTATAGTATAGTGGCCATGAATACAGTCTATGGACTTGGGTTCAAAACCTACCTCTGTCACTTACAAACCACCTCACTTAATAGCCTTGAGCAAGTTACTCTATCTAAGCTCATGGGATTGTTGAAGCAAACAGATGAAACAATAGTGTGAATTCCTTAGCCAAATGTTTGGTAATGGAAAATGTTGACTAAGGATAGCTGTTGTTATTCTGGACATTTTTGGAGGTGAAACACTGGAGGCTTGCTACTATGAGCAGGAATTATTCGATGGATATATATACCGCCGCTGTTCAGTACAATTATTCTGAAGGATACAGACATCCAAATATTAATTCATTCACTTCATTAACATTATCAAGGCATGAATAAATGCCAGGAACTGTGCAGGTGACAATACCATGAAACAGTCACTGCTCACAAGGAACTTACAATAGGCAGGAACATTTTTGAAAAGTATGATGACTGCGGTTTTTGGGGAAGCGCAGGATACTTCATTGTTACCTAACCAATGGTTCTCAGCAGGGACCACAATCTAGCATTTGGGAAATGTGTGAGAGTACCTTTTTGGTTTTGTGTTAATTATTATCACAGCAATCATGGGGCATTACTGGCATTTAGTAAGTAGCAAGGGACCAAAGACACGAGGCAGCCTGAAATGTGAGCGTCACACACAACAAGAATTCTCCTGAACCTGTGTGACATTCACATAAGTGAAAGTTCTGTTATTGGGTATAAAATCTCGCTCTATTTTACATATTAAGCGCAAAGTAGTTTTGTGCAATTTTAATGCATACTGAATTTTCCAGGATTACAAGTAGAGTGTAAATTGAAGATTCTTTCTCCTGGAAATCTGTCAAGAGTTAGTCACTATTTCTGAAAAATTAGTCACCAACCCACATAACTGTGTCAGCCTGCATTTGTACTGTCATATTCATAGCAATTTGGGGTCCAGACAATCAACTGCTTTATTTTGTCTTCAAGTACAGCTTGCCTAGGTTTTCAGATACTGAAATAAATGTGATTTTATTCTGTTACTCTATTTTTTCTTAATGTTATTCTTACAACTTTACATATTTTTAAATATAATGTGTCTAGTGGGGTTAAATCAGTGTATTTCATTTCTGAATAATCAAGGAGTGATATTAAAAAGTCTTAAATTGTAGAGAACCACTGGGTTAACCAAAGACTCTGAACTCACCCAGGGGATTATGGAAAACTCAGTGGAAATAACATTTAAGCGGAGACTTGAAAGCTGAGTAGGAGTTATCTAGGCCAAGGCAAACAGGTAGTAAAGAGAAGATTTTTCTTTGTTTTCTTTTTTTTTTTTTTTTTTTTTTTTTTTTGAGATGAAGTCTCACTCTGTCACCTAGGCTGGAGTGCAGTGGCACGATCTCGGATCACTGCAACCTCCGCCTCCCAGATTCAAGCAATTCTCCTGCCTCAGCCTCCCAAATAGCTGAGACTGCAAGGGCACGCCACCACGCCCAGCTAATTTTTGTATTTTTAGTAGAGATGGGGTTTCACTATGTTGGCCAGGCTGGTCTTGAACTCTTGACCTGAGGTGATCTGCCTGCCTTGGCCTCCTAAAGTGCTGGGATTACAGATGTGAACCACCGTGCCTAGCCAGTAAAGGAAAGATTTTAAAAGGATGATATTCAAAGTTGGTAGGGATGTGGCGACAGTTACTCTCATCCATAACTGGTGGAAGTATAAAGTTCTGGAAAATAAACTGACAATATGTATTAAGGGTATTTCACTTCTAACACTGTATCACAAGGATATTCAAGATGCAGGAAAAGACATATACAGATCCACATCAAAGTCTGCTCTATAATAACAATAATTGAAACCATTCTAAAGGCCTAATAATAGTGAGGTGATTAAATAAATAATGATTCAGCCATATGATAGAGTCTGACACAGACATGAAAAATCACATGCCTCTCCACTGACTCAGGCTCATACTAGTTCCTTTCTCTGAGCTCTTACAACATCTGTAACACAAATTTCACATATTGTAGTAAAGCTATGCTAAATTTATCTCTAACCAAACAGTAAGTCTCTGAGGGAAGGGAAAAATTTCTGTTTGCCCTTCAGCATCTAATAAAAAAAACTTTGCAAATAGGTATTTGACAAATTCTTGTTGATTCATTAATTTTAAGGTACAGTATGATGGTTCAGTTTTTGTTAGAGATACAGACATACTGCAGTTCTTGAAAACTAGAAAGCATGAAACACAAAGTTATCTTCCTGCTCTCTAATCCTCCAGGGTTCTATTTGCTTCTTCGAAGATTGTAGTCTCTCTTTTCTATTTCGCCCATTAGAAGATGACAAGAAGGAAAAAAAACAGCCAAATAGCATCACTGCAAGCTAAAGTGGGCCATTCCCCTGGGCCCCAACTAATGAAATTCAAGGATTTTAACAAGGAGAAAGGCAGCTGTAGTCCAAATGTTTTAAGAGGAACTCATAGGGCTCAAGGGCCCTGAACCTAGAAGGTGCAATTGATTTTGGCTCTGTTTCTCTCTCTCTCTGTGGAAATGAAACCTTATTAATTCTGAAAGCCTGTATTCTCCCTGGATTCTAGACATGGCAATACTTTAACTACAACTCCTTTGAAAGAGACACTAGAATAAAATTCATCAAATGTTCTAAAGTGACCCTAGCTACCTCTGAAGCATGTATTGCGTTCAATAATCTAGGACTTGATAAATTTGCACCCCCACCAAAAAAAAAAAAAAAAAAACCTCTTTCCTTTATGCTCATGAACTGGGATGGATGGCATTATTTTACATAGTTATTCACTTCCCTTCCTGTAAAAGGATTGACTATCTATGCTTTTTGCCATGTGACTTGCAATACTGCCATACGGAGAATTAATACATAATCTTCCCATTGACTATGGGCTTAGCCATAGGACTTGCTTTGCCCAACAGAGTGTGAGCAAAAGTGATACACCAATTTCCACATAGAAGCTTTGGAAGTCACTGCATAATTCAACCATCTTTTACTTTTCCCCCAGCAAGCTCTAGAGCCTGGGTCTCAGGACGGTGAAGGCACAGGAAACTGACATAGGAAACAGAACTGCAATGGATCCAAAACTAACCTGCTATTGTGAGCAAAGAATAAACACGTTATTGAAAGCCACAGACGCTTTTGGTTTGTTATTGTTTTTGATTTTTCTGGTTGTTGCTACTAATTGTTTGTTATTGCAGCATAACCTAGAGAAAGATGACCAATATCTGAGTCTGGTTTGTGCAGAAAAACTGAATTTTTCTAAGTCAGGTGAAGCCATGCCGTGATCACTTGCAGAGGAGTCACAGTGAATTCATTCTTTTTAGTGAATCGCATTTGCAAGGAAACAACAAGAACCAATTCAAAATTCTAGTGTTTCACGGACCAGGTTCAGATTTCTTGTGGATTGCCTTATTCGTCCAGGAAACACTGAAGGTTTCAGGTCCCAGGATGTTCAGCATATGGTGTATTCCAAATGGCTTCCAATTTTTACATTCATCAGATTAAACTAGTTCCAGAAGAGAAACTACTCATAAAAAAAAACGAGTTTTTGTAAAGGAATGATTTTCTATAGAGAGAACTAAAATTTACTTTGCTGAGAAACACCATTTACATGAAATTTTAAATGTGGGCTTTTGAGCCTAGTGAGTCGTGAGCTTTAACATCTGGAATGAGTCAAGTCCCAAAGCCATGTCTTAATACGCACGCTCATTTGTCTTCCTCTGCTATGAATCCAGATTTGGTTTTATACTATAATTTCTAAAATAATAAGCATTAAATTTTAATTCAAAGCAATTCAAATATGCTGGCACTTACGCTTAGTCCATCTGAGAGCTGAAAAGAGAACCACACCGTATGGTAGTGTTTAACATGTGGCTTTCTGTGAAGTGAGCTTCAGGCTGACATACATCTTAGCTAAGTAAAGACTGGACCTTAGGGAGGAGCCTTGGGCTAATCTGGGTGAGCAGGAGAGGAATGAGGCCCTGCCCCCAGTGAGAGAATAAGGGGTGAGGAGGATAAGAGATGAGAGAAGCCATTTAGGATCTCAAAATCATTTACTTTGGTTATTATCCTTTGTTCTTTATTAGTATGTTTCATGATTTTTAGAGTTGGTATTTTAAACCTTTTCATGCCTTGTGAAAGTGTCCCTTCTAACATCTCTATTAATAAATATAATCTGATCTTTTAAGATCTGATATTCTAAAATCAAGAACACATGAATAAGTTTTACCTAGAAGTGCCTTCCCTCATGATTGCAAACTCCAGTAGGTCACCTTCTCCTGCCCTCTCTTCTCCTCCCCATCATCATCATCATCATCGTCATTATCATCATGATGTTAACTTTAGTGAGCATTCATTGTGTGACAGGCACAATGTGACAAGGAACATTCTAATTGTTTGTCCTTGCATATAGAATATAACCCAGGCTCTTTATCTCGGTCTACAAGACCCTTCAGGGTCTAGCTCCTGCCTAACTCATATTTCTCTTTTCCATCCCTGTGTGATTCCAGCCACCCTGGTCTATTTCCAATTATTTTAGTTTATTTTTTCTGACTTCAGTCTCTAGGGCTGGGTTAGCACCACTACCTGGAGTCCTCCTTCTCTCAGTTCTTTGCATTGCTCACTCCTCATCTGCAGATCCTACATACAGGGTCTACAGATGAGAATGAGCTAGCCATACAAAGACCCTTGAGAAGCAAACTCAGACTGCTCCACTGAAGTCAGTAGCTCTGTTCTTTTCTCTTACAGTACTGTTTCTTTCCTGCCCATACTTATCTCCTCTTGAAATTATGTAGTGTGTGCTTACTTATTTAATATCTATATTACATACCCATTCCCTAGCATGGTGACTGAAACCTAAGTGGTTTGATAAATATTTAGAGAATGAATAGATAAATGAATGAATGGTCTCTTTCTACTAGTACTACTAGTACTATCCCTATTACACATGAGGAAGCTGTGGCTTACAGGTATCTTGCCTTTAGTAACACAGAGAGCTGAAGGGTTTTATCATGTTTCCATGCAATATTGTTTCCATTTTATATCAGAAAAGTACCAGCCATACCCTCTATTTGACCTAGGAATTTGTAATGTTCTTGATAATGGTCCATCCATATCCTCTTATTCCTGCTTACTGCTCTACATCACGCATGTTCAATGGGTTTGCAGCTTCTACATGAGCATGCAACTCCTTCAAACACAGCAAAAATGTATTCTCTACAAGTTCTCACAACTCCAAATTAGGTGTTCTATCATCTCTCAGTCTGTTTCCTGCCTCCCACTACTCCAACCTACAGAATTATTTCACTAGAGGAATGGCCTATCTTCTTCCTTCACTAAAAAGCATCACGATGGTCCAGCAGTTGTGGAAAAACTGTGCTCACAACAACAGAGCTCAGAGTCTAACCAAATGTTCCTAGTCTCTGTCAAAACCCTAAATCCAATATGCTCAAGAATGCAAACTCTTTTTTTTTTTTTTTTTTTAGATGGAGTCTCACTCTGTCACCCAAGCTGGAGTATAGTGGCGTGATTTCAGCTCACTGCAACCTCCACCTCTTGGATTCAAGTGATTCTCCTGCCTCAGCCTCCCAAGTAGCTGGGATTACAGGTGCCCACCATCACACTTGGCTACTTTTTTGTATTTTTAGTAGAGATGGGGTTTCACACCACGTTGGCCAGGCTGGTCTCAAACTCCTGACCTCAGGTGATCCACCCACCTCAGCCTCCCAAAGTGCTGGAGTTACAGGCATGAGCCACCATGCCTGGCCAAGAGTACAAACTCTTGAGGATCTCCCCCTTTTCCCTTTATCCTACCCTCTCTAGAAAGATATTTTTCTGACCTACAATTAATTTCAATATGTACTTAACTGAAAAACACAATACTATTCAGCCTATGTGGTGTGTTTGCTTGCTCCAGGCCTTATTCTTTTTCTGACATTTAGGTGTGTAGTCTGTGAATTGCAGCCATGAGACTCTGAGCAGCAGGTCCACTTGAGGGAAGCAAGTGCCTCATGCATTCCACAAGTCCTGGCTCTCCCCCACCCAATCCCAAGCTCATAGTGGAATCATCTCAATGCCTAAGAAGTCACAAAAGGAGGTCCTTTGTGAATTTGCATTCATCTAAAGACATGCAGGAGATGCGGGAGGGCTGCTTAGGCTGAAGCAGGAGTGTAGCGGGGAGGGAGAAGTAGAGGGAAGGATGCAGGGGAAGGTGGTGAAAGAAAAGGTTCAGACGGAGGACAGACCTTCCTGCCTCAGCTTCTGCTCTCCTGCTTTCCCAATTATTTTGGTTCTCTTCTTTTAAATCTTAAAGATTTTACCAGGGAGTTGAGTTTCATCACATCTCACAGGTTTTGATACACAGCATTTCCTGTTTGTCATTTTCTATGTAGTCTTTCATTTTTTATTTCTTTCTCAAGCCAATGATTATTTTGGAGAGTTCACATACTTCCACACACTTGGGCATTTTAAAATGTTTATAAATAATCTTGGGTTATGTTATATTGTGAAGAGATGTACAATTTCTGCTTTGTTAATTTACTGGGATTGCCATAGAGGTCTAAAATATGATGAATTAGGGTTCAACGCCACTTGTAGAACAGGTATATTCCCTAGATTTCAGAAATAAAATTCAATGTAAATTACTCCTTCCTGTCTTATTGATTATATTTTTCAACTTTTCTGTTTGTATTTGCTTTCCACATCTAAGAAACAACAACTTCTCGAAAGCCCTTCTCTTTCTCCAGAAGGCACATCGCTCTCCCTGCGTCTCTTGTAGAGCCCCCTTTCTGGTTCCTCAGTGTCTCTGGGGAGAGGAGGCAGATACTTTGGGATTGGTCAAGGAGATTTGATGGGTGAACAATTCTACTCATTTCCCTTCGTATCCTACCTCAAGCCTTCACCTTAACATCGTATAGCCTTCTGAATTTATTATTCAGCCTACAACTTCCCTTCTCTGGGATTTAAAATTAAACTTTCATTACTACCTATGTGTCCTTCACTCAGAGTTCTGATGGCTTAAATCACTTATGAAATATTAATGAGAGGTGCTGCTTTTTATTCTGGAAAGATGCTTCCATCACCTTCATTGAACTATTCTATACAATTTAAAAGCTCTCTTCGACAAAAACAGATGAACTAACAATTGATCTGTTCTTGTATTCATTCATTTGTAGCCATGTCACATCTTCCATGGGTAATGTATATCTTTAAAAGTAGAAACTTCACTTAAGAGAGATATATAAATCTAAGAATTAACATGTTAATGTGTGTTCCTTGTGTTAAAAAAAAAGAAAGATATGCTACACTGGGTCAATATCATTCTTATCTTTTGCAGTTAAAATCTATTCTTTAATGAGTGCTTATGGAACTCTCTTACTGAGCAAAAGTAAGTCTTTCAAAACCACAGTATCTGTGAAAGATACACACTCAGCAATGGTACCTTAATCTTCATTTGAAGGATATGTTTGCCTGGCAACCAAGGCACCTAAAACCACACAAAGAGAAGATCTAGGATTCTTAAAAGTACACCTATTCACATGCAAAGTAAATGTCCTTAGGATCATTCTCCCACATCTCTGTAGAATTTCTTTTCTCTTCTCCACTCTTTCTAAAATTTTGGGTGGACTGCTTTTACTCATCAATGGAGTCAGTAAAGGACAAAGTCAACCCCCCTCTAAACCACCAAAGTATTTGAAATACCAACATTCTTTTTTTAATTCTTTTTCATAAATATTTCATTTTTTAGAGATAGCTTTAAAAAATGAAGACATCATTTTAGGGAACAATATATTGAGTCATAATAATGTCATTAGAATTTGGTTCCTGTATCACTTTCTTGTATGACCACTATCTGAAGAACAACAAGAGAAGTGAATATACTTTTTAGAAAACGGGTTCAGTTCACAAATTTTCCCAATGGATAGAGATGATTTAAAGACAAGAGCTTTAACCAAAGTCAATGTACGTCCATCTAGAATCTCATAGAGGTACATCTAAGTTTTACTTTGACAATAACTAGAGTTTGACCTTTGTGAGCCTCAATTTTCTCATTTGTAAAATTAAGGTCCTTGCTGATGCCAAAATTCTACAGGTTGGTTGTATTCCTTTAGGTTGGTTGGTCAAAGATATAATATAAAAATCTATCTATTAATATTTAAATCACCGTACATGACCTCTCCTTCTGAATAATACAGTTTTTTTTTCCATCAACAATCCTTGAGGGAAATTTGGTCAAGACTTTGAGGATATGTGGTTACATCAGAATGTAGATACCTCGCTGGCCAACTGTGACAGCCACATCGGCTGTCTCTGAACTGATAAATTCAAGGCTAGAGTTAAAACTTTGTTCCAGAAAAACCTTGCATTTGCATTATTTTTTTTAACACTTCAAGCTTCTTTTTATCATTTATTTCCTTGATTCTACCCCCAAAGTTTAGAGAAATAGATAGGACATCTTACTGAAGTAGGAACTGAAAGATCCAGATAAAGAATTGTCCAAGGTTATACGGTCATCTGACAAATGAACTAAAATAAGAAGTTAGGTGAACTAACTTTAATCCCCTTCTGGCTACAAAACATTCCACCATTCTGGTTTATGAAATTAAAACTTCCAAAGCCAGTTTTATGATTTTTTGTGCAAACTTTTCAGAAGAATTCAGAGGAGTTCATGGAACCGCTCACTGAAATTCAGTTCTAGTGTTCTGCAAAGCCTGAGAGGATGAACCATTCAGAGGTACTGATAGTTCTTTAGAACCAGAGAATCACCATGAAGGCTTTAACAGAAAGGGCCCCAAATTTCCCTGAAAATTATAGTTACATTCTTGCGTATCTGAGAAAATCATGATGCTCGGCTTCATGTTTTAGTCTCGTGATCGGAGAGCCAGGTATGGAATTGGGTAATTCACAAGACCTTCCTCCCTATGGAAGATGAGACACCTCTTGTAGTCAACGTCACACAATTGCATTTCTGTTCTTACTGAAGATAAGTATAACTAGATCTCCTAAATTTGAATCCCAGCTCCATTACTTGCTAGACATGTAACCATGGACAAGTAACTTCTCTGGGCTACAGTTTCCTAAGATTAAAACAGAAATAATAATGGTTGTTGAGAGGATTCAATGAAATAACTCACGAAAAGCACTTACCACACATGGCAGGCAGTAAGCTGACAATGATCATTATCTATTTAATTTGTTATACTATTTTAAAGTCTTATAATAGTGCCTGGAGTACAGGAAGCACTCTCTAATTGAAAGCTATTTTTGCTGTTCTCAAAAGTTAAAAAAAAAAGGGTTAATAATTTAATTTTGATTTACATAAAAATATTTGAAATTCTTCCGTAGTGTAAAACTTTAATATACTTTATAAGAGACTTTAGAAAACCTAAATTGAATAAATATACCCATTCTGAAATGATCTTAAATAAAAATTTCTGGATTAAAAAAAATGCAGGCCGGTTGCAGTAGCTCATGCCTGTAATCCCAGCACTTTGGGAGGCTGAGGCCGGAGGATCACCTGAGGTTGGGAGTTTGAGACCAGCCTGCCCATCATGGAGAAATCTCATCTCTACTAAAAATGCAAAATTAGCCGGGCGTGGTGGCACATGCCTGTAATCCCAGCTACTCAGGAGGCTGAGGCAGAAGAATTGCTTGAACTCAGGAGGCAGAGGTTGTGGTGAGCTGAGATCATGACATTGTACTCTAGCCTGGGCAACAAGAGCGAAACTCCGTCTCAAAATAAATAAATACATACATACATACATACATACATACATACTGCTGTAGTGCTATGGTCAATGCACTTCAACTAAGTCTAGCTAGATCTTATGCTAAAGTTCTGTTTCCTCTGTCTAAATGTAGAAAGAAGAGGACAGGAGGTCACATAGGTTTTTCCTGGATGAATAAATGGATTTAACTTGCACAAACAAACAAAATTGTAAATTCTTCTCTAGTTTATGTAAAATGATTATGCCCAAAAAAACAATGTTTTATCTTGCTCAACACTTTAATTTGTGGCTTGACCAATAATTTAGCATAAGAAATACCAGGCCCAGCAAACAAAAACAGCCTGTCTCTGTTTCAAATATTCCCTGTATTACAATCATTACCCACACTTAAATCAAAATTAAAGATTTCTGGAGGAGAGCAAGCAGAATAAAGGAAGGAAAAACCCTAACCTCCAAAACAAGGGTCATTCAACACTTAAACTTTATTACCACTTGACTAGCTGGGTCATCTGGGCAAATCCCTTCACTTCCCTGGGTTGAGTTCTTTCCTGTATTAATTATTCTAGATAATAAATCTGTATCTTATTAGTACATCCTATCAGCCTTATTTGCCTGCACCTTAGTCATTAGAGCTTAGTTATTATTGTATTTCTAACAAGCTCTCAGGTATTCTGGCTGCTGGTGGCCCAACAATCTTTTGAAGACCACCACTCTGCAGAATATAAAAATGTTGATGAATGTCATCTAAGGGCGATTGAGTAGTGAAAGTTACCTCAATGTAATTCTGAGAACTGTCACTCTGGCATTGCAGCTCCACGTGGGTGAAGTTGATTTGTATTTGTTCTCCCTGGGGCTGCTTCATCATATAGACGCATTGCCTGGTGTGAGTGAAAGGCCCAGACAACTCAGGCAAGAAGAGTTCACCCTCTGGGTCCGTGTAGTTCCCACCACAACGCAGATCCGCTAAGAACAGGGAAGAGACGAACAGGTCATGGCAATGGCATTGCTCTGGCTTGCAGGCATTGGATCCAATTTCTAAAAATTTACCCACACACACACACACACAAGCACATATCCATTTTATTCACCCTCTATAGGCTTGTGCCTCTAATTTTAAGATTTTCAGTTTGATGTGTTGTGGGACATCTCTGTAGTGGCTTAAAGAAATAGATGCAGAGATGTGTGATCTAGCTTCCAATCTGCCATTCTCTTCTATAAGTTGCTTTTTAAATACATTAATGCTCTGCTTCATTTCAATAAGATTTGAGATGGTTATTAAAAACATGTAACAAAATAAACTACATAACTGTATACATGAAGCAGATTAAAGAAAAAATGAATACAGAATAGCAAGATGTAGCCAGGGGGAGTTGATTTGCACGGAAAACAATTGAAAGGGGAACAGGAGGTTGGCACCAGATTCCGTGGAAAGAAAAGGAAATGAAGAAAGGGGACAAGTAAAGATGTTCTTTGTTACTCTTCCTGATATTGAAACTTAAAAGGTACTTTTTCTGAGAACATTTATTAAGGGCACAATAATAGATGTCATAAACAAAATCCTCCACTTCCCTAAAAAAATCCAAATCATAGAGTATTTCCTGTGTTTTGTTGTTTGTTTGTTTTAAGGTATCAAAGCAACTGAGGTCCTAACAGCTAATAGTATTTGGCTGGAAGTGAAGCTCTAGAGTCTGGGACACTGTGATGCTGGAAGCCAGCCCCAGCCCCTGTGCAGCTGGACTTGACCCGAGGATAAAATCCAGAGAGACTGCACTGCTCGCATGCACAAACCTCTCTCACAACTAAACATCAAACACCACGAGGGACCTGGTGCCCTGAATTATTTAAGTTTGGGTGCCTCATACATCTTTATCATGATGTGGATCCCATAATTTAGGGATCAAAGGGTATTGCAGTATTAATAATAGAGCATTGGGAAGATAAAGAAAAAATATGAAGCTATGAGAGAAATATTTATAAAGAAATGTTCTTGGTCTAAGACAGTCAGTCATCCTCTGAATCACATTAAAATATAAAACAGATGTAAGCATAGCATTGGCCTTCAAATCCCTCTTAAGCCCCCAACTGGTAGGTTACTTACAAGGTGATGTTAAGTAGGTGATATGGAAGCCTTGGTCACTAATCTGGGAGTCTGAATGGAAGTGAATTCTGGCAAAGGGGCCAGTAGTCTGGAGCGGTGGGACAGAGAAAGTGGTGCAGAACTTCCCAAGAAGGGGGTCCTGATACAAAGGACCATCTCGAATCTAAAACAAAAGGATGAATCATTAAGCTCAAAGTGGTCAGATTTTTAACAAACTAGGTCACTTTGGATATTAACTTCATAAAATCTATCATTTAAAAGTGATCGCTCAAGGAAGTTTCCCCATCACATCCAAATGTAACTCATGGCTGAGGTTCAGCAAAGTGTGTCTCCTTCTCCCATCACCCCAATGCCTTCTCTCTGTCTGAATTTTTTTTTTTTTTTTTTTGAGATGGAGTCTTGCTCTGTCACCAGGCTGGAGTGCAGTGGTGCGATCTCAGCTGACTGCAACCTCCACCTCCCAGGTTCAAGCAATTCTCCTGCCTCAGCCTCCCAAGTAGCTGGGACTACAGGCACCTGCCACCACGCCCAGCTATTTGTTGTATTTTTAGTAGAGACAGGGTTTCACCATGTTGGCCAGGATGGTCTCAATCTCTTGACCTCATGATCTGACCATCTCGGCCTCCCAAAGTGCTGGGATTACAGGCATGAGCCACCGCGCCTGGCCTGTGACTGGATTTCAATTCCAAGGCTGGACATATAGTTAGAATTTTTGTCATGATGTTACTAATCAAAGATCTTTCCCTTTTGATTTTTTTCATTATAAATTCTTAGTGATCTAGAAGAAAATGAATATAAGCAAAGAAAACAGAAGAAGGAACACCATTGATGCCAACTGATTCATAACTTGGTCCAGGTTTTCAGAAGGGTCAGAGGTAGAGAGGAAGTGCCATCAGATTAGACACAACAGAAAGACAGGTTAGTGAATTTAAAAATGCAACTTTGATAGTAAGTAAGTACTACAATGATAATGACGTGACCTTAGAAATCCTTTTCTAATTGTTGGTTTTTAATCTATGATGTAATCATGTCAATCTCTCTATAATTTTGTTGTAATTGCAAATTCTATACTATATAAACCACCGAGGAGTCAATGAACTAAAGAATATTTTAATATGGTCAATTTTGTCTATTCAAATTACTTTTCTTACTGGGATCAAAGTTAGATGGCAGCATAACTTTATTCTAATATTTAACTGGTTCTTTGAAATACTGTAGTTTAAAGAGAAATGAGAGACATTTCAATATTGTCAGAGTGGTTGACACTTTCTACCATATGGTCTCCAGAAATGAATGTGTAGGAATTTTTTAAAGCCTCTAATTTTAACTTGATGGAATTTATTGAAAATTAATTTCAAGATAACTCACTTTTCTGTCAACATTTAAATGACCATTTTGCAGAAATTTTCCAGAGAGAGACAGATCTTCCAGTCATTCCCAAAGGTTTCAAATCCATTATTGCTGAATTACTAATGACTTTTACTTGCAGAGCCCCTTTTTGACACCACATCCTTCTATCCTTTATGAATAATTGCATTGACTCTATTCCTCTCTAATGGACTTGGAAATGCGTATTGTCTTTTTCACACTGCTGCAAGGGGCTGAGATTTATGGTGATAAAAAATACAGGACAACCTGGGAACTCAATCTTCTCCATTATCTTGTCAGTCTACAAATGAAGAGCAACACTTTTTGATGCACCTACGTACAAACGGCATTTGAATATAAGAGCCTTTTCTCCTCCTCCATATTTTAATCTTTTACTAATGGGTAGGCAGAAGGAGCTTCGGCTGATACCTCTCCTCTCAGTAATAATGATTACTTTATTCCAGGAACCTAACCCAGTTCAACACAATCACTATTATTTTTCTTTTTCTTTTTTTTTTTTTTTTTTTTTTAGACAGAGCCTCACTCTGTCACCCAGGCTGGAGTGCAGTGGCACGATCTCAGCTCACTGCAACCTCCGCCTCCCGGGTCCAAACGATTCTCCTGCCTCAGACTGACGAGTAGCTGGGGTTACAGGCACCCGCCACCTCGCCCAGCTAGTTTTTGTATTTTTAATAGAGATGGGTTTTCACCATGTTGGCCAGGCTGTCTCCAACTCCTAACCTCAAGTGATCTGCCCACCTTGGCCTCCCAAAGTGCAGGGATTTCAGGCTTGAGCCACCACACCCGGCCTCTTCGTGGAATGCTACAGTTAAGCTGTGAAAGACCTTGCCAGTTTACCACAGACAACTGAAGGTTTGAATCTGCATTGAAGGAGATGGCTATTACTGAGTGTTTATTTCATAAATTCTGCATTCTCATGGCAGGGGTGTGAGCTTCCAGGTAACACCATAGCAGGGCAAGGTAATCTGTTTCCCAGATTCAAATGGAACCCAGAAGAAGAAGCAACAAACAGGCACAGTTAAAAATAGAGACTTTGCAAGAGTTAGATATTGACTGACTATTGAGAAACACACCTAACTACAGCTAATATTTTGGGGTCATCCATGGGCATGGCTAGACCATAGTGCCCTGAGTCCTAATCATATTGTGATATGTTCTATCTAAATATAATTATTTACCTCAAGGTAATCTTTGTTGCAGTCATCATGGTGCTCGAGGCTCAAGGTCCCAAAAGTAAATGTTACCAGGAGGTCAGGACTAGTTACAACAATCCAGACACAATCTCTTCCTGGGGGATAGTTTCCAGGATACCCCGGAGACTTAATAGAACCGTAAGGACCAGTCAGGATACCTCCACACTCTAAAATAAGAGGGAAAAATAATGTTACATTTGTATAGATGCTATAATTTATGGAGAATGATCAGAGCCCTTGGCGTAAGAAGCCAAACTTTGTTTAAATAACTATGAGCAGTTTTAGACACCCTCATAAATTAAAAAAGATTTACATTTTCCAGTTTTATAAAGTTACAAGTCTAGAAGTATCAATTGATAAACAAATGAATCACCCATGTGTCAAGCTCTGTGCTTGTGAGCCATCACATGCTGACACTATTTAAACAGGGCTGAACCATCTGAGCGATGAATACCAGGATTGTAGAGTCATCTTTTTCACTTTGATGATATTAATTTCTGTATGTGAAATTGTAAAGAATTCCAGAACTTCTGCCAACCTCTGTGTGTTTCAGCAAACCAGATCACTTTGCATATTAAAATGGTTAAGTGTGACATAATTTTCATTTGAGAAGGTTTCTTAATACTATCATATAGTTAAAACATTCATTTAATAAATGAAAAAATTCAAATGTCTGTAGTGATCGAGCCACTGTTCCAAGAATGGAGCAAGTGAGGGACTGAGCCAGGCTTTCTGATGCTGACCCCACTACCATCCTCATTATACCACATCGGCCCCCTAACGTTGCTGACTAGTGACTGGAAGAACCTGCTCTTCATTAATACCCACATTTATTTAACAAAGAATCTGTAGTGGCTTAGATTTCTATGAGAAATGCTACTGTAAATCAAATGACAGAAACACTAAATAATAAAAATCCAGACTGTAGTAATACAGACATTAGAAATAAGTGAGATAGGTAACATTTTAGATGTGTAAGATATGAAATTTACATAGCTATACAGGTTGTTCAAATAAAAATTTTCCTGCCAAAGTAAAAAATGAAACAAATTAGTTCCATGAGTCTCATTGTTCCTACTGAGAAAACATCTCAGTTCTTCAGAAAAAGAGGCATTTCCCAATGTAATACTTTAAAAGTTACCAGTTTTAAATGCATAAAATAGCATAAGCAAAGGAAAAGATTAATGACAAAATAAGAAAAAATGCAATATGCAACAAAGAGTTATTATCCTAAAATATAAAGAACTTCTAAAAAGAATAGAGACATGAATAGAGTGCACTGAAAAAAGTTCAGATGTCTCTTAAACATATGAAAGGATGTTCAACCTCACTCATCACAAAGAAGGAGCAAATAAAACCTTAATTGAGATGCCATTTCTTACCCCTCAGAATGTTAAAAATGCAGAGTTTTGAAAACAAATTATTGGAGAGGCTGTGGGGACATAGACATTCTCACACATTGCTAGAGAATGCAAGATGGTACGATCACTACATAAGAGAATATAGCAATACCTAGCAAAAACCTATGCATTTCATTTTCTTTTGACCAAACAATACTACCATTGGAAAGATATCGCAAAGGTACATTGGCAAAAATACAATACGACAAGTGAATAAGGTATTTTGTTGCAGTAACATTTGGAATTCCAAAAGATTGGAAACAAGACTGGGTGTGATGTCTCATGCTTGTAGTCCCAGCACTTTGGGAGGCTGAGGCAGGAATATCATTTGAGCCCAGTTTAAGAACGGCCTGGGCAGCCATCGCTACAAAAAATAAAAAAATAAAAATTAGCTGGGTATGGTGGTGCGTGTCTGTAGTCCCAGCTACTGGGGAGACTGAGGAAGGAGGATCACTTGAGCCTGGGAGGTTGAGGTTGCTGTGAGACACGATCGCACCCTGTCTCAAAAATAAAAAACAAAAGACTAAAAAGAAAATGGCCAAAGGACTGGAAACAAGCCAAATGTCCGTCAATAGAGTATTGATTGAACAGAAAATGAGACATCACATAGCGGCATACTATGCTCTGATTATGGAGTAATCTCCAGGATATATGATGTGAAAAAAAGCCAACTATAGACCAGTGTGTATATTATGCTCCCTTTTATCTAAGAAAGAGGAAAATACAATTATATGAGATCATTTGCTTAATTTTTAAATAGAAGGATAAATCAAAAACTAATAAAAACTGTTCTCTAATGGGGGAGAAAGAACAGAGTGGAAGGGACAGGAAAAAAAAAAGCTAGACCTCTCATAATCTACCATGCCCATTGATTTGGCTTTGGAACTATAAATATATTTTACATAATTATAAAGCAAAATTTGAGAAAAATGAAAGAAATATTTAAAATCACAACTGAAGTGAAACTGGTGAAATAATTGCATTGAGCTGACAACCATAGAGAGTAGAAATATTCCAAGGGACCTTAAACACTGTAATTTGACTATACCGCTCAAGCAAAACATATTTTAAATACACAAAAAAGAACAAAGAAATCTTAAATGGTTTCCAGTTATCATACCATTAGTAATAATATTAGTATTGTTATTTTGAAAATATGTACAGTAGGACTAAGTACATAAATAATATGTTCATGTCATTGGGAACCAGGATTTTTACTGTATGAGAGAAGAGGTAGAAATGTAAAGTAAAAAAAAAAAAAAAAAGCAACTCTATAATCTCAATATTCCAATATAGTGTAAGATCACTATGAATATATAGGGTATTTTTTCTTTAAAAAACAACAAAAAAGTTTTTTCTAATTCTGTCCACTGAAAGGTCTAGAGACGATGACACACCCAGTACCAATAGCCATCCGTAGCACCCAGATTGTGAGATCTAAATACCATTTCCCACAGAAAAAGTCAGAGCTCTTTAGGGAAATCAGGGTTTTCAGTCCTGAGGTAAATAATGTGCAGGAAGAGCCTAGAACATCTTTTCTGACCAGAAAGCAAAGGAGCTTTCAAAGGTAACTGGAGTTTGGTTAAAACAAGTTCAGAAACTAACTGGAAAATTTTCCAGAGTTTTGAAAACAAATTATTAACAAACACAACAAACAAAACACGGAAAAGTGTTTCATTTTTAAATGCCTAGAATTGATTAAAGCACATCAAATGTGATATAATATATAAATGTACAGATATCGAAAACAAAACAAAATAAAATGGAATAAGTGACCATTTTGAAGAATGCTAAGGAACCAAGTTATTAATTTGAATACTTTTTAAAAAAAAGAAAAAGAGAGAAAATCAAGCATTTATCCTACCTTTCCTACATGATCTCTGTATGAGAGCAACCAAATAGCTGATATGAGTAACTTCTATTCCATTAAAGAACTTCAAATAATAAATAAATAAAGAAGAAATAATAAAATCAAACTATTATCATGTTGTAGGTCTCAATGAATAACTCATCTAAATACTGAACCTAAAGAATGCTAAAACCATTAGAGAAAGTGCAAAAGAGGCTTTTAATGGGAAGTTCAACCTGAGGAGATCAGAACACTCTGACCAATGTTAACTTCATAATAGAAAAGCAGATTTCATGTATCTCCTGAAAAGATTATTTTTTACCACATAAAACCCCCTGGATTTAACCAAACTTTTTGGTATAAGCACCAGTTTACAAACAACATGACAAATGGCATGTAGAATATAAACAGCAAAATCCAAGATGTGGGATGATCTACAGAACAAACAATCCATTTCTTTCACAAATAAATTTGAACAATGGGCCACTCTGCCTATGGAGTAGCCATTCTTCATTCTTTCACTTTCTTAATAAACTTGCTTTCACTTTACTGTATGGACTCACCCCATATTCTTTCTTGTGAAAGGTCCAAGAACCCTCTCTTGGGGTCTAGATCAGGAATCCTTTCTGGTAACATCTTCCTGGCAAACCCCACAGGGACGATACGGAGAAAACCCCTGACCCATAGGAAACAGACTGTAGCACCAACTGGCAGACTGTGGATATCACCTTTTATCAGAGTTATGAACGGGTCTCACCATACTGACGCTTTCTGACTAAGCTCCTCTCTACCCTGAATACAAGAGACCCTAATAGTTAGGCAGGAATATCATCACCCCTATTCATCCTGAAGGAGTTACAGAAAATGGACTGACATCCCTCTACAACCCTTAGGATTAAAGGTCCCCTTGTAAAAGGGAGTGGGGTAATAAACCATAGGCATTCAAACCAGAGCAACTCCATCTTGAATAGGGGCTGGATAAAATAGGGCTGAGACCTACTAGACTGCATTTCCAGGAGTTTAAGGAATTCATAGTCACGGGATGAGATAGGAGGTCGGCACAAGATACAGGTCGCAAAGACCTTGTTGATAAAACAGGATGCAGTAGAGAAGGCAGTCAAACACCACCAAAACCAAGATGGTGAGGAAAGTGACCTCTGGTCGTCCTCACTGCTCACTATATGCTAATTATAGTGCATTAGCATGCTAAAAGACACTCCTACCAGTGCCATGACAGTTTACAAATGCCATGGTAACATCAGGAAGTTACCCCACATGGTCTAAAAAGAAGAGGAACCCTCAGTTCCAGGAATTGCCCACCTCTTACCCAGAAAACTGATGAATAATTCACTCCTTGTTTAGCAAATAATCACAAAATAACTGTAAGTATACTCAGTCAAGCAGTCCATGCCACTGCTCTGCTTATGGAGTAGCCATTCTTTTATTTCTTTACTGTCTTAATAAACTTGCTCTCACTTAAGAAAAAATGAACAATGATTAATGATTGATAATAGTAAGGAATTATTGTTTGTTTGTTTTAGTTTTTATCATTTTCAGGCATTGAGAACAAACAGCAAAGGACTGTAATCTCTGAAAAGAGAAGCATATAAAGTATGTCCCATACACACTCAAGAATTCAAAGAAGTGAAGCCCAAGGAGACAGCAATACCCTTGCTATGGCAAACAAACAACTCACGATTTAGGGCTACCAAAGCATCTGGCGGTTTTGGAGCTGCATACTATAAGGAAAGCAGCTGCATGGAAATGGCACCTCAAAAATGTACAGGCATTTCCTTGGGTCCTTAGCTCATTCCCAAGCTGCAAATGCACAGAGAAGACAGCAGGTCTAACTAACAGAGAACAGTTTCGGAGGGGAGGGAAGTTGCTAAGAATTGAAGAGAGACTGCATAATAAATACTGAAGGGATGTGTTGCCTCATTCAGTCAGAAAGGAGATACTTTTATGAAAACCCTGAGAACTGAATTGAAACGTGAGAAAAGTATGCTACAGGAGTAAGATTCATATTCTAGGAAATATGGCAATCCACCAGGATTCATGGAAAATTTGAAATAGGTCCCCTGTAAATTCAAGCCTTGATTGAATGAAAGTGATCTGCCAGGAACATAAGTGCCTACTAGAAAAAAACCCAACCCTTCTGAGAGGAAGATAATATAATCCAGAACCCCTGCAACATATCACGTATAATGTCCTGCTCACAATAAAAACTGACTAGGCCTGTGAGGAAGTAGTAAAAAAAAAACCAAAACCCAATAATAAATAAAACAGGCAATCTCAGCAAAGCCAGAAACATTCCAGATACTGAGGCTACCAAACAATGACTCCAAAATAATTATGATAAAACTTAGAGGAAAAGGTTGACAAAATAGTTGAAGAACATTTCAACAGTACTTACAGACTTTCCAAAACAAAATAACCAAATGGAATCAAAGCAAAAAAAGAAGGCAAGAATATAAAACCATAAGAACTATTAGAAACAGTCAAAACCTTCAGCATATGTGTAATTTGAGTCTCAGAAGGAGAAGAAAGAGGAAAAAAGTGGCAATGCAATATTTGAAAAAATATTGGCTGAAATTTCTCAAAATTGTATAAAAGAAAGCAACCTATAGATTCAAAACTCTCAGTGACTCTCAAGCAGGACAAACACAGAGAAAACCAGATCTAGATACGCCATAATCAAGTTGTGGAAAATTAAATATAAACACACAATAAAAGCAGTGAGGGTGGAGAAAAAGACACATTATCTTCAGGAGAACAACAAGAATTACTGCTGAGGTTCCTCTCCCCAAAAAAATTATGGAAGTGACAAGACACTGATGTGGTATTCTTAGAGAGCTAATAGGAAATGGTCAACCTAAAATTCTATGTGTAATAATATCCTTCAAAAATTAAGGTAAAAAATGCATTCTTAAACAAAAGCTGAGGGAATCTGTCTTCAACAGACATGCTCTGTGAGAAATATTAAAATATGTTCTTCAGGCTGAAGAAAAATGATCCCATTAGAATGTAAAATGGTCTGTTTGCAAATGGCATGATCTTTCATACATAGAATACCCTAAAGACTCCACTAAAATACTTTTAGAACTAATAAATGAACAAACTAATTCAGTAAAGTTACAGGATATAAAATCAACATATAAAATTAGTTGCATTTCTATACATTAACAACTAACTGTACAAAAAGGAAATTAAGAAGAAAATCCCATTTACAATAGTGTCAAAAAGTTAAATACTTAGGAATGTATTTAACCAAGAAAGTGAAATATCTGTATTTTGAAAACTATACCACATTAATGAAAAAAAGAAAATATTTGGTGTTCACAAATTGAAAGAATACTGTTAAAATGTCCATACTATGCAAAGCAGTCTACAGTTCAATGCCATCTCTAACAGAATTCCAATGGTATTTTTCACAAAATAGAAAAAGAATCCTATAATTCATATGAAACCACAAAAGACCCCAAATAGCTAAAGCAATCTTGAGCAAAAAGAAGAAACCTGGAGGCATCCTGATTTAAAAATACATTTAAAATAAAAATACACTACTTGATTTTAAAATATATTACAAAACTGTAGTAATCAAAACAGTATGGTATTGGCATTAAAAACAGATATCTAGACCTATGGAACAGAATAGAGAGCCCAGAAATAAGTCCATATATTATGCTGAATTGATTTTTGACAAACATGGCAAGAACATACAACATGTAAAGGATAGTCTATAATAAATGGTGCTAAGAAAACTGGATATCCATTTGCAGAAAAATGAAACTGAACCCTTATCCCACACCACATACAAAGTCAACTCAAAATTAAAGACTTAAACATAAGGCCTAAAACTGAAGAACCAATCCAGGAAAACATACAGGAAAAGCCCTATGACATTAGTCTGAGTAGTGATTTTTTTGGATATGACCACAAAAGCACAACTGAAATATATAAAAAACTCAACTCAATATCAACAAAACAAACTAACCCAATCTTAAAAATGGGCAAAGGATCCAAATAGACATTTCTGAATAGAAAACATATAAATGGTCAACAAATATATGAGAAAATGCTCAACATCACTAATCATCATGGAAATGCAAATCAAAACCACAATAAGATGCCACCTCATACTTGTTAGAATGGCCATTATCGAGAAGATAAAAGACAACAAGTATTGATGAGATGTGGAGAAAAGGGAACCCTTGTTGAAAGTATACTGGTACAGCCATATTTAAAACAATATGGAGGTTCCTCAAAAAATTAAACACAGAGCTACCACATGATTCAGCAATCTCACTTCTGGTTATATATCCACAGAAAATTAAATAAATATCTGGAAGAGCTATCTGCACTTTCATGTTCATTGCAGCATTATTCACAATACATTCATACATTCACCATAGCCAAGATATGGAATCAATCTAAGTGCTCATCAACAGGTAAATGGATAAAGAAAAAGTGCAATATATAAATACACAAAAACACACACACAGACATAAATGGGATATTATTTATCCTTAAAAAGAAAAGGAAATCCTGTCATTTGTGACAACATGGATGAAACAGGGAGACATGCTGAGTGAAATAAGCCAGACATAGGAGGACAAACACTGCATGCTCTCGCTTATATGTGAAATCTAAAAAAAGTTAAACTCATAGAAGCAGAAAGTAGAATGGTGGTGGCCAGGAGCTGAGAGGTGGGGGCAATAGGGAAATGTTGGTCAAAGGCTAAAACGTTTATGTTCTCTGGAATGAATAGCTTCTAGAGATCTAATGTACAGCATGGTGACTATCATTAACAATATTGTATTATACACTTGAAAACTGCTGACAGTAGATCTTAAATATTTTCACCATATTGACTAAAATGGTAACTATGTATGATAGATATATTAGTTACATTGTGGTAATCATTTCACAAGTTATACATATATCAAAATATCAAAACATTACATTGTACATCTTAAATATATATAACTTTCATTTGTCAGTTAAGCTCCAATAAAGCTGGGAAAACATAAATGCTTGAAATATTGGGAAAAGAAGATAAAAATAATGTAAGAAAATAAATAAAGCAAAAGTTTCAGAACAAAAAGCTGGCAAATCTAGAATCATAGTTTGAGATTTTACTATAACTTTCTGACTAAGTAATAAAGCAAATATTTTTTTAAATCAGTAAAGAAATTTAATATTTGAAAAACACTATTTACCAACTTGACTAAGTTAATATAGGTAGAGGACTACATCTAACCATTACAGAATATACATTCTTTCCTGTCCATACAATAAATGCACCAAAATAGACTTTGGTCTATAAAGTAAATCTTAACAAATTTTAAAGATTGAAATAATATACTGCATGATTAGTGATCACATTGGTAAATAAACAGTATAATTTTAATAAAACCTATGGTCACAGAGAATTCAAAATAAAAATGACAAAATACTTTCAGCCGAATGCTAATGAAAACATACATATTAAAACCTGTGGGATGCAAATAAAAGTTCTCCAAGGAAAATGCATTAGTATTAGTGCATATATTAGAAATTCTAAGAAGTTCAAACTCATTTGTCAATGCTTCCAAGTCAAGAAGCTAGGAAAAAATTGTTAAAGTAACCATACATTAGGTGCAAAATAACACAAGGGAAGAAAATGATAAAACCATGAGGAAAATCAATGAAATAAAAATCAACAGAAAACATTAACGGAGCCAATAGTTGGAATTTTGAAAACATTAGTAAAACTAACAAATCCTTGGTAAGACTTATCAAGGTAAAAAAGATAACATAAATTATCAATATCAGGAATGAAAAGAGACGACATCACTACAGAGCCTACGAACACTAAAACATAGTAAGAAAATATTCTGAAAGTACAGATGAGTTTCTTGAGAAAAAAATTGCCAAAACTGAAAAAAGAAGAAATGTAAACTCTGAATAGATCTATATTAAATACATTGAATCATAATTTAAAGCCTTCTCACAAGGAAGCCTGCAGGCTCAATTAACTTTATGGTAAATTATTTCAAACATTTAAGAAATATTGTCAATCTTACACAAATCCTTCCAGAGAATATAAAAAGAGAGGACACTTTTCTATTAATTTTAAAACATTGACATTACCTGTAACTTGACAAAATTACAAAAGAATATCACCCAAATATAGATATAAAAATCCTAAAAATACATATTAGCAAATAAAATCTAGCAATGTATAAAAAGCATAACTTGCCATGAACAAATGGAAAATATTTGATGAATGCAAAGTTGATTCACCATTCAAAATCAATCAATTTAACTCACTATATTTACAGAATAGAGGACAAAAAACATATGATCACCTGAATAGAGTCAGAAAAAGTATTTTATATGTTTCAACATTCATTCATGATTTTTTAAAATTCTTGGTAACTAGGAACAAAAGGTGTGGGTTTTTTTTTAATTCTTTATAAATTCTGACACCTCTCCCATTTAGAAGTGGGCCTATGTCCCCTCGCCTTGAATTTGGGTCAGCTTGTGACTAAGTTAACCCATTGAGTATGGCAGAAATAACACAATGACTTCCAAACATAGGCTGAAAAATTCCCACGCAGCACCTGTCTGGTTCTGTTGTAATGCTTGCTCTGAGAGAAGCCAATTGCCACGAAGAAAGTTTCACTATTCTAAGACAAACTTTTTAGAGTAGCCACATGTAGGCACTCAGGTCCATAGCCTAGTTGAACTCTCATTGAAAGCCAGCATCAATTGGTAGCCACTGGAGTAGGCCATCTTGGATATTCAGCCCAGTCCAGCCTTTAGACAGCTACAGTCCCAGCTGACACCCGCTTATAACTGCTGAATAGATTTCAAGTAGCAACTGTCATGTTAGGTTCTTTCCAAATTCCTGGCCCACAAAATCAGAAACAAAGTCAAATGATTAATGTTCTACAACACTAAATTTGTGGGAAATTAGTTATACAGCAATAGTAGTTGACATAGGAAAGAACACTCTTCATCTGATAAAAATTATCTGTGAAAACTTACAGCTAACATCATATTCAACAATGAAATATTGAGCATTTCCCCATGCTGCTGGGGAAAAGACAAGGATTTCCTTTTCACCACTTTTATTCGGCTTGGTATTGAAGGTCCTAGCCAGGGCAATAAGTCAAGGAAAAGAAATAATAGTTACAAAGACTGGAAAGGAAGAGGAAAAATATCCTTCATTCACACATGATGTAATTATGTACGTTTAAAAAATCCAAAAGAATCTACAAAAAATAATTAGACATGATGAGTGAATTTAACAATGTATATGGAATCAAAATCAAATATTTAAAAAATACATATTTTTACATAACAAGTGAAAAATTAAATTTTAGAAAATTAATATTTCACTAAGCATAATATATCAAATATCTGTAAATAAATCTAACAAAGATATGGAATACTTAGACACTGAAAGCTATAAAACATTGCCAGGATAAATGAAAAGAGAACTAAATTTAAAAATAGTTTATGTTCATGCATTGGCAGGCTGAATATTTTTAAGATGTCATTTCTTCCAAAGTTAATTATAGTTTCAATGTAATTCCCATAAAATTCTTTGGGAAAACTGACAAGTTGATTCAAAAACTTATATGGAAATGCAGAATATCCAACATCTTTGAAAAGAACAAAGTTGAAATTACACTCTCAGATTTCAAGCATCAGAAGTTAAGCCTAGGTAGCATCAGGATAGATAAAAACACCAGTAAAAAAGATGAGAAAATGCTGAAATTGATCCACAGATGTATTGATGAATGAATTGGGGGCATGGTATACTGATCTCTTTACTTTTTATTTGTTTAAAACTTGCATAGTAAAAACTTAAAAGAAAATAGAATAATTAAAACAAAATAATAACAAAAAGAAAAAATTATTGAGTGATCATTAAGATGAAGGAATACTACATGAAGGGGTGGACAATGTCCTCAATATTCCTGCAGTAAACTACTAGTAGAGCTTATAAAAAGGCTGTTCAGTAATTTGATAAGGGACCAACTAAGACTCATGTTTTTTAATCCCTTCTATTTCATGCTTATTTTGTTGCCTTTAGACACAAAATAAATTCTAATTAATTCTAGGTTGATTTGATTTTAAAGTAATTATGGTTGGTCACAGTGGCTCATGCCTGTAATCCCAGCACTTTGGGAGGCCAAATTAGATGGATTGCTTGAGCCCAGGAGTTTGAGACCAGCCTGGGCAACATAGAGAAACTCCATCTCTATAAAAAACACACAAAACATTAGCCTGGAGTGGTGGTGCACACCTGTAGTCCCAGCTACTCAGAAGGCTGAGGTGTGAGGATCACTTGAGCAAAGGAGGTCGACGTTTCAGTGAGCCGTGATCAGGCCACTGCACTCCAGCCTGGGCAACAGAGTAAGACCTTGTCTCAAAATAAATAAATGAATAAAATAAAATAAATTATAAAAATATTATATATCTTCAGATCCCAAAACATCTCATGTATCCAAAAGTCTAACACTGATTAAGAACACTTAATAACCTCAAAATTTTGCTTGCTTTTTTCTCCAGGTTCACACATACCTGGTTGCTGTGTTTCCCATCTTACTGTAAAGCCTCTCCCATTTCTTAAATGTTCAGAATAGAGATGAAAATAGAGAGCATTGTCACTGCTGAGGAGTTCATGAGGGAGGCTGGAGCCACAAAATCTTCCAAGTTGAAAAGCAGAAGAGGAATCTCCATCATAAACCTGAAGAAACTCGTGTGGACAGTTGTCCATGGATTCTAACCGGAAAAAAGTGAAAGTGATACGCAGGACCTAAAAATACAAAGGCCACATATATTATCTTTTACTTCCATGTAAATTTTAAAGTATTTCTCCCACTTCCTAGGCAGCATTCATACTGAGGCACTTTCAAGAGCTAGACCTATCATTCCCTAATTATCCACCAGTACATATGGCAATCTATATACTAAATAACTTGTGCTAAATATTGTTAAAAACAAACTTCAACTAATATCAAAATATATCAAAAAATCTTAATGTTAATAACATAGATTTACCCCAATTTCATTAAACTTGTCAAGTCCACCAGACCAAGGTATGTCAAATATATAACTGACATTGTTTCTAAAGCAGTAAAATAAATTGGAGATTTGAAAATCTACCTGAATTAAGTTGAACTGGCTAATATTACCATTCACAAGAATGTACACCCTAATTCCCTGAATAACCTGTGGCCTGTTATCAAACACACAGACGTTCATCACTGCCCGCCAGGGATGTTGATTCCAGAGGGGCTAAGATTCTGACGCCAGCCCAGACCGACACGCTCAGGTGTGGGCGGAGTAGGCGGGATGTAGACAAGCAAGGCCTGGACGGCTTCAGGGACTGGATATAATTAAAGGATGAGTAATACCAAGAGTAGAGAATGAGAGGAAGAATACTGAGCATACAAGAATAACAGGAAAAATACTGAGCATACAAGTAGAAGAGAATAAACACAAAAATGTGTCCGAATGGATTAGAATACAGACTTCAAATATAGTAATATAACTTATAAAACGTACTGACAACCTCATTTGAGATAAACAATCAAAAGAAGGCTGTCGAATTTAATTTTCATCAGAACCTAAAATCACAACAATATTCAGTTAATGAAAAAGAATATAAGGAATTTTTTAAATTCTGTGCTAGGGTATTTTAAGATCAGTTACCTATTACTACATGACTTTCTTAAAACAGTTTAAATGAAACTCAAATGTTCACTAATTGAACTATCCTGATTTGTATATATTTTCTACCATATTATGTCCATTATGAGTGAGAAGATATGAAATCACAATAATCAAGAAAAAAACAAGATGAATTTTCTTGCGAATTGGTAATGAAAGTATTACAAGTTTCTCACCTAAGAATATTTTTTTTTCAAAAGAATGTTTTCAATGCCAGGAAATAGAATTCATGAAAACTAAATGGAAGGAAGGAAATTCACATAGCATACCCACTGGGAAATTTATTTTGGAGTTTATTTTAGTGTGAGGTTACCAGGTCGCAAATAGTCCTCCCTCCTCAAAGGAAAAAAAAATGTTTTTTGACCCTTGTACAATGCCCTCTGTAATAGTTTGCTGGAAAAAGTTAATAGGATTTCAAGGGAAAATTTTATCTATTCAGACATACCATTTTATTTTTATGAATCCAGGAGGTGGTTGAGAAACAATATTTAGAAATGCCTGGGTAATTAATGTCGGGTATAAGAGCACTAAAAACCTTGGACTTGGATCTTAATTTGAAGAGCGTTCACGGAGCGGCTCAGAGTGACAGGCTGTGGAGGTGACTGGCCTGTGTCTGAGTCACTGCATGCCACTTTCGAACCACATGCACCTGGACACACTTCTCAATGGCACTAGGCTCTGTTTCCTCATGTGTAAAATGAAGATAATAATTTCTATCTTTCAGGGTTATGAGAGTTAAAAATGGAATGCTGTAATGTATATGGAGCACTTAGTATAGAACATGGCAGAGCAAAGACATTTGATAAGAAAACTATCTTAATATCAGTGGCCATTTTTGCACAATAATCAACATAAAACTAAGCAACCATCTTCTAAAATACTGTCTCAGTAACAACATGATTTTACAGATTAACTAGTGGCTTGCAGTCAGTCAACCAGTGTAGAGAATCATTCATGCTGGAGAAAGCATGGACTTTGGAACCAGACAAACTTGACTTTGAAATTCAACTATTACAATTACAAGCTAAGAAGTGTTAACAAAAAATGTTTAGCTTCACCTACTTTTCATTATTTCATCTATAAAAGGAGGATCCTCCTATTTATTTATTTATTTATTTATTTATTTATTTATTTATTTATTTATTTTTGAGACAGAGTCTTGCTCTGTCACCCAGGCTGGAGTGCAGTGGTGCAATCTCAGCTCACTGGAACCTCTGCCTCCTGAGCTCAAGTGATTCTCCTGCCTCAGCCTCCCGAGTACCTGAGATTAAAGGCACCCATCACCATACCTGGCTAATTTTTGTCATTTTAGTAGAGCTGGATTTTCACCATGTTGGCCAGGCTGGTCTTGAATTCCTGACCTCAGGCAATGTGCCCGCCTCAGCCTCATAAAGTACTAGGATCACAGGCGTGAGCCACCAGGCCTGGCCTTGTTACTCTTTTTTTTTTTTTTTTTTTTTTTTTTTGTGAGATGGAGTCTTACTCTGTTGGCCAGGCTGGAGTACAGTGGCACTGTCTCTGCTCACTACAAACTCCGCCTCCTGGATTCAAGCAATTCTCCTGCCTCAGCCTCCCGAGTAGCTGGGATTACAGGAATGTGCCACTACACCTGGCTAATTTTTTTTTATTTGTTTTATTTTTAGTAGAGACAGGGTTTCGCCATATTGACCAGACTGGTCTGGAACTCCTGACCTCAGGTGATGCACCCACCTCATCCTCTCAAAGTGCTGGGATTACAGGCAAGAGCTACTGCACCCAGCCCCTGTGACTTATTTCAAACAATTAATGTAAGGTTATGAAAAGGTAGGTATATGTCTAGCCAAAATAATGGCACTCCGTACTTAGTAAGCACTCAATATATGATAGTTGAATTATCATTGCATGTATTTTATGTAATAAAATATACACATACTCCATATTTATATATACAAATATAATATGCATTTGGGCAAGAGTTACTACATTTACCTTTCCCATTTCAGTTTTGATAACCCAGAAGCAGTTAACATCATGAACATAACCAACATCCGGGCTCCTGTAGCTGAAGCTTCCATTTATTCCTGAGAGGGACTCTCCACAAACTGCAAAGGAAAAGATGAACTGTGCTTTTCAGAGGTTCCTAAAAGGAAGAGGTTGGGCAACTGTAACCCTGCTGCTGATAAACTTAGAGAAAATTTGAGTAATGAAGGTTGGAGATAAAAGCCCTGCCATTCCCTCTCCTCTGTGCCCTTTTTCTGTCAACTTCCATAGAAATCCCACCTCTTGTTCAAAGCTCAGCTGATGCCTCATCACCTGCTCCATGAACTGCCATGTCTTATGTTTTCACTGATTCCCATTCTCTGTGTCCCTGTGACACCCAATTTCACCCCACACAACATAGCTCATGTCTTTAACTCTTGTATCTGTTCTCCCATTGGGGTTGGTCTTGTCTCCTCAGCTGCAAGGTGAGCAGTTCATAAGTGGAGACAGTATTTTACACTTTCATATTTTTCCATAGGGTCTACTATTGTCCTAAACATATAACAACAACCTCTCAATAAATGTGTTGATTCCAAATCAGGAGTTTAAGTGAGGGGCAGAAGAGTCAAAAGTGACTTTATGGAAGAAGTTGAGAGGGAAGTGCTCCTGAGGGACAGACACATCTGGATGAGAAACAAGGAAGATGTGTGAGGAGGTTTATCGGGAGAAACATTCCAAATAAATGAACACAGTGGAAAATACTCATGGTGGTACATGGGGTCCGGTGACGAAAGAAAACTTGCTTGAGTGAAGTTATTTCTAGGGAACTAGTGAAAAAAAAGGTTAGATGGATTGAGTGAGACTTGGTTATAGAAGATCATTGAAAATTAATCCCAGTCTCTATTTAACAGGCAACGGGAAGCCACTGTGTATCCTGGAAAGGGAGAGTGACTTGATTCAATGCAGTACTCTAGGGAAATTAAGTGGCTGCTCCTCAGAAAACTTCCCTTTAGAAAACCATAAAAGACAATACCTTAGCATGTTTTATATTCAAAAAGGACATAGTGAAAATGGCAAATACTAATGTATTTATTCTTTGGAAGAAAAGTTCTTGGCTTACAGTGAGATTTATAAATATTTAGCTTGTGAATTTTATACCATTTCTGCAAGGAAAGACTTAGTTCTCAGTATCTGAGCAACTGGACAAGAAAGTGGGTTCAGCAGAGGAATCTGTTGAGGGACTCACTAAAGGATGCTGCTGCTATGCTGTGAGCATCCGTGGCATAAGAAATGCTGACTGTACCTTGCTGAGGAACCTGACAGAGAGCTCCAGTCCAGAGACGTGTGCATTCACAACTGAAAGAATCAACGCCATCAACACAAGTTCCTCCATTCAAACAGGGGTTGCTCAAACACTCATTGATGTTTTCTGTACAGTTGACACCTGTCCAACCTGAGTCACACTTACAAAAATAACCAGAGACAGTGTCCTAAGGGGAAAAAAAACACATAATACCATAAAACAAATGGATAGACACTAAACTTTAATCAACCCAAATAATAGGAATGTAGTGCCATGGAGATATATAATATATAATAATTATATAATTATTATATATAAAATAATATATAATTATATATTTAAAAATAATTATTATTTATGTAATAATTATATATGTATAATTATATATATATAATTTTTTTTTTTTTTGAGATGGAGTCTCGCTCTGTCGGCCAGGCTGGAGTGCAGTGGTGCAATCTCAGCTCACTGCAACCTCTGCCTCCCGGGTTCAAGTGATTCTCCGGTCTCAGCCTCCTGAGTAGCTGGGATTACAGGCACGCGCCACCACACCTGGCTAACTTTTTGCAGTAGAGACAGTGTTTCACCATGTCGGTCAGGCTGGTCTTGATCTCCTGGCTCGTGATGCACCCGCCTCACCCTCCCAAAGTGTTGGGATTACAGGCATGAGCCACCACGCCTGGCCTACTGATATATTTAACAGGTGCTACAAATATATATGTGTTTATATGTAAGTATTTTCTAGTAGTCTACTTGTTATTAATAGGTTTAAATGGTAATTGTTTTGTATGTCAGATTTATTTAGATCAAACTGCAGGCGTAGTTTTAGTACTTCATAAACCACTGAGACAAAAAATTAACTCAATGTTTTTTCCTAAGAACTAAAATCATTATCTATCTTTCATCTGAGAGTTCTCGACAGTTCCTTATCTGAAACTTGACTCATTATCTTGACATTCCTGAATCCTATAACGTTACATTTTATAGGCGTGAAACTAATTCTCAGGTACTCTCTGTCCACAGGAAAAACAAAGGACTCACGATGCATTGTCCATTTAGACAGGGGTGACTTAGGCAAATATTACTGAGCTGCACACATCCATTTGGCCCATAACCATTTCCAGTATAACCCGGGAGACACGTGCAGAGAGGTAAGGAACCTGTTCAGAAATAAAAACAAACGTGTAAATACAGGTCTCCTCCTCTGTTCGGATGCAGTATCTAAACTCAGAATCTGCTGTCTAGACAAGGATCCACCAACATCCAGTCTGTGTATTTTGACGGGCAGACAAAACAAGGTATGAGGAGAAAATATTAGAATCTTTATTTTTGTATTTCTTATCTTAAAATAAGAAAGCCATTAAATGCCTTCCACACATTATTGACGTACTGGGTTGACATGGGTGCTGTCAGCCCATATGTCAGATGGTCCTGAGCTGTGCACAAAGGTGAGCTGCACCTGGGGAAGACAGACATTCCTCATCATGGAGGAGTTAATGCAGAAAAGGAGATTCTTAGGATGAAACTATCTGTTGCAAGCACTGGACTTACTCTGACTGATTTAATCCTCCCAAGAGCCCAATAGAGGGCCAGGCACAGTGGCTCACGCCTGTAATCCCAGCAGTTTGGGAGGCTGAGGAGGGCAGATCACTTGAGTTCAGGAGTTCGAGACCAGCCTGGCCAATGTGGAGAAACCCTGTCTCTACTAAAAATACAAAAATTAGCCAGGCATGGTGGCACACGCCTGTAATCCCAGCTACTTGGGAGGGTGAGGCAGGAGAATCACTTGAACCCAGGAGGCAGAGGTTGTAGTGAGCTGAGATAGTGCCACTGCACTCCAGCCTGGGTGACAGAGTGAGACTCCATTTCCAAGAAAAAATTTTTTAATTATAATAATAATAATACTAATAAAGAGCCCTATGGAATCTGTAATCCCTGAACTTTGGGAGGCCGAGGCAGGCGGATCACCTGAGGTCAGGAGTTTGAGACCAGCCTGGCCAAGATGGTTAAGCCCTGTCTCTACTAAAAATACAAAACAATTAGCGGGGCATGGTGGCCTGTAGTCCAGGCTAATCAGGAGGCCGAGGCAGGAGAATCACTTCAACCCAGGAGGTGGAGGTTGCAGTGAGCCAAGATCCTGCCACTGCACTCCAGCCTGGGAGACAGAGCAAAACGCCATCTCAAAAAAAAAAAAAAAAAGCCCTATATAGGTACTCTCTTATAATCCCCACTTTACAGATGAAGCCAGTACACAGACAGCCTGTCCCGGCCAAGGACACACACACACAGCTAGAATGAGGGGAGCCCAGAGAGCAAGCACTCCCCTCGTGTGTAGGCTGCCTACAGCACACCTGTACAGGAGTGTGGCTTACACAGGCAGGCCACATGTCCCCAGTTATGTGGATGTGCAGATTGCATGCTGCCAGTTTTAAACAGGCTAAATAGCTATCACAGAATGAACTTAAGTCTCTAAAAGACGTTTGCAATAAAACCACAGATTGAAGATAATATAGTAACATAAATATATGGGGACATCAACAAAATACCAGCACCAAAACTTCTCCCACACTTCTGATGAGCTCCTCATTGCCAAGGTACAAGGTTAAAACAATGGCAATCGAATTAGGTTAGGAAGGAACTTGGTCAAAAGGAATTTGAAATGATCGTGTCTATTTAAAACATGAATTAACATCCACGATTAATTATGATGTACATGAGGTAATAGCTAACAATAGTTTTAGAGCATCCAGCATCTTGACAGTTTTCTTACGCAATGTTAGGTTAAAAATACTCGTCATAGACATTACAAAATTTTACTAAATTTAATATCCAGAGAGTTTTCCAGATTTCTCACTTAATAGCAAAAAGCCACATCTCATTGCAGAAATATATGTTCTTTCTACTACTGCACAATGGTTGAAATAATACAAGGAAATCAATGTGGCAGTTAACTACATTCCTCCATCAGCAAGAACTGTTAAAGATGGATAGAAAAACCCTGCTGAATAATTTAAAAAATAGAACAAATTACACAATGTGACAGATTTACAGTAGAATTGAATGACAATATAAGTTGTTCTTTTTTTTTTTTTTTTTTTTTGAGACGGAGTCTCGCTCTGTCGCCCAGGCTGGAGTGCAGTGGTGCGATCTCAGCTCACTGTAAGCTCCGCCTCCCGGGTTCACGCCATTCTCCTGCCTCAGCCTCCCGAGTAGCTGGGACTACAGGTGCCCGCCACCACGCCTGGCTAATTTTTTGTATTTTCAGTAGAGACGGGGTTTCACCATGTTGGCCAGGATGGTCTCTATCTCCTGACCTCGTGATCCACCTGCCTCGACCTCCCAAAGTGCTGGGATGACAGGCGTGAGCCACCGCGCCTGGCAAAAATACAAGTTTTGTTATGTTCTCAGCTTATATTACTTGCAAGATTCCACTTCAATATTAAAAAACACAAATATTTCTTTTAAATAAATAATTGCCTAGAAATGCATTTTTTTATAGTTAATTACTTCTTTTAAAAATATTTATAGGGAAAAATGGAGTAAGCAAGCTCTGAAACTGTTGAAGCTCTGAGTAGAAATTTTTTAAGTTTCCCAGGGTAAACTTACAGGTTGCAGTAAAGAAGGGCAGCCTAAAAGTACACAAAGTGTTATTAATACTTCATGTCATCAACATTATGACTGTCCTCCATATTAAAAAACAGTTATTTTTGTAATAATATTTGTTACAAGCACTTTACATATAAGGACTCATTTAATCATCTGAAGCACCCTGAGGTAGGTGCTATTATTATCCTCATTTTACAGATGAAGAACTAAAGCACAGAGATTAAGTGTCTTCACTGAGGACAAGCAGCTAAAATCTGGTGGAGCCCAGGGAAAAATGCAAGCAGTCTTTATCTAGAAATCATGCTCCTAACCACTTTGGTATGTTGATAATCATTTAATAAGCATTTAGTCACAAGTATATGTGTGTGTGTGTGTGTGTGTGTGTGTTTACATACACATATATGTTCTTTTCTATATATGCAAGTATATGACAAATTAATAAAAAATAAAGGTGGTATCTTGAAATAGCAAGAGACATGATTATTCAAGAAATGGAACTGGGTCCACTTATTTGAGCAAAAATACCAAGCCAGATCTCTATTTGATGCTACGGATAAAAAATACATTCTAAAAATATAAAATATCTTACCATAAAAAAAGAAACCATAGAAGTATAAAAGAACATGTACTTGACAATTTTTAAAGAGTTCAGTAAAGAAAGCCTTCCTAAACATGACTGTGAAGGGAGAAATAGTAAGAGAAAAGATTTATCTTTTTGACTACGTAAAAATTCTAAACTTCTGAATAGCACTACCACTACAAGATTAAAACAAAAACAACATGCCAGGAAAAACACTTATAAAACATAAGACAGATAATGAGATAATGTCCTTAGTACATAAAGAAACTTTACCAATCAGTAAGAAAGAAAGAGAGCAAAGGGGATGAACAAGTAGAAAGATGCCCAGTGAAAATGTGGAAAGTATTAATTATTAGTAATCAAAAAGTATAAATGAAAATAATGGAAAAACTAATTTTGCCTATAAAACTGACCAAGATGAAAAATAATAATAATATCTATTATTGTCAAAGATGGAGTAAATATGTATTTTTATACACTGTCGGTGAATACATAAATTGATACAATCTTTCTTGGAGAAAGTTTAGCAGTATATATTTTGTTAAATTACAGGGTTAAACCCTTCTATGCAGCATTGCAAACACTGTTGGTTGTCACCCTAGATCTATTTTCTACTTCCTTCTTTCTGAACTCCTTATTTCAGCTGGACTCAGGATGCCTGAAATATAGAGTGTACTTCCCAAACTCCCTTTGCAGCAAAGCTCAGTTCTAAGCAATGGCCTAGAAATGGAAGAGTCCTTCAAAAGAAGGTGGCATTGCCTTCTTCCTCCTTTTCTCCTGCCTGCTTGTTGGAATACAGTCGTTAATTAATTAACTGGCTTAATTACCTTATTTCCTAAATCAGAGCAGACCATTAAAGAGCATAGTTTATTACATATTTAAGAAAGCCAAATGTGTAGTTTTATGGCATGGATTAATTTTAGGTTTGAAGGTCAAAATAACAATTTTGAGAACAGAGGATTTTGTGTTTAAGATGTTGAATTGGTTTAGAAGGTCATATTACAATACCCAAAGCCAAAGAGAGAGATGAGTCATTACCTAGAGTTGAGGAGCATGAGGCATCTGGGTGGCAGCCTCCATTACTGACTGAGCAGATGTCTGTGAGTGTGCACACTCTTCCGTCACCCTGGTACCCTGATGAGAACAAGAGCCAGGTCATAAGAAACAATGTCAAGAAGATGGGAGGACAAAGCCTGTCTAGGATTCAAATATCATGAAATGGACCAATCAGGGATCCTCTATCATCGAAACAAAAAATATAAGTATAAAATGTCATCAACAAATGAAATTTCATAAATAAGAAAAATAACAAGAATTAGTAACCTGATTTCATAAGCAATGTTCTGGGTTGTTTCTAATGAAAAAAATATGTATAAAACTACTGGTAGACTTAGAAAGTGCTGACACTAAGAAAGTTAATATTTTTATATTACAGTGACTCTGATGTTCTTAGAGGTCAATTATTATAGAAGCCCAAAGTACTGTAGTTCCATGTTATTTAAACATACAAGGTTTCAGTTTATCCCTTAGTACTCCCTGAACTTCTTGGGTAGTAATTCGATTTAGATTAGAGAATAGCAGAAAAGACTTCTTTCCAGAAAAGGAGGGAAACCAACAATTACGATATATGCCTACTGTGATGCCTGTGGTTTAGTAAACTTGGTATATGCAAAACAACTCAGGAGTGCATGATATTAACAAATTATTCGTGAGGGCAATGGAACAGTAAGTCTGTGATCCACTCAGAAAACTTTTCAAATTCTGCATTATCTCTGTAGCTATTTGACAGTTTGTAAAGTTTGTTGTTTTCTACTGATATTCAAAATGTTTTTTCTTTCTTATCATAGAGTTGTACTAATGTGTCCTGAATTCACAAGATAAGCAAAACTTTCTGTACTATTTCCTCTCCTAAGACAGAAATAATATTTTATTTTTTATTTTTTTAAGACAGAGTCTCACTCTGTTGCCTAGGCTGGAGTGCAATGGTGCGATCTCAGCTCACTGCAATCTCCGCTTCCCAGGTTCAAGCGATTCTCGTGCCTCAGCCTCCCGAGTAGCTAGGATTACAAGCATGCACCACCATGCCCAGCTAATTTTTGTCTTTTTAGTAGAGACAGGGTTTCACCATGTTGGCCAGGCCCGAACTCCCGACCTCATGTGATCTGCCCACCTCAGCCTCCCAAAGTGCTGGGATTACAGGCATGAGCAACTGCACTCAGCCAGAAATCATATTTTAAATGGAGCACTAGATTCCGTATTCCTATGTCTGTGTTCCCTGTGCTGGGGTCAGGAGGTTGACATTGAACCGAGGCAGCACCTGGTGGACAGGCCTGGCAGTGGGAAGACCCAGGTGTATTCACACACTCAACGGGTGGAGCCACAGAACAGCCGCCGTTATTTATCTCACATTCATTGATATCTTCGCAAATATATCCATTGCCTTGCCAGCCTAGGAAAACAAGAGGATTTAAAAGTTTAGCTCTATAGACAAGTCAACAAGGAAGAAATACAAGAGTCAAAACATATAAAAACCTTCTCCACCTAAGGAACTATAAAATAAAAATGAGATATGCTTATCAGATTGGCAAAAGTTGTTTTGAATTCTTAAAATCAAATTCTGACAACAAAGTGGGCAAATGGGCTCCTCTTATATGCTGATAGCTAGACATTAAATTGATATAACCTATTTGGAAAGAGCTCTGGCAGTATTCACTAAAATTTTTAAAATACATAGACTTTGACTGCCAGTTGCACCTATTAAAACTCAGCCTATTGTGATAAAACTACCAGTATACTAAGATGGTAGTATACATCTTAGTATACTGGTATAAGTAGGTAAGAGGATGTCTACCGCAGCACTGTTTAATAGGGAAAAAACCCTCAATTATCAATAGAAGCATAGCTGAACACCTTATGACTCATCTTTGTGACCAAATACTAAAAACGCTTTTTAATATCATGTGTACACCTGTATACCTACATTTGCATACACACACATTGAAAGAATTTTTGTATATACATTAATTAAAATACTAAATGTGGCTGGGCAAGGTGGCTCATGCCTGTAATCCCAGCACTTTGGGAGGCCGAGGTGGGCAGATCACCTGAGGCCAGGAGTTCAAGACCAGCCTGGCCAAAATGGTGAAACACCATCTGTACTAAAAATACAAAAATCAGCTGGATGTGGTGGTTCACGCCTGTAGTCCCAGCTACTTGGGAGGCTGAGGCAGAAGAATCCCTCAAACCCGGGAGGTGGAGGTTGCAGTGAGCCAAGATTGCACCACTGCACTCCAGCCTGGGCGAGACTTTGTCTCAAAAACAAAAACAAACTGTTAAAATCATATGGAGGATTGGGCTCATACTCCTAATTTGGGGAAAGAATTTTTTAAACTCTTGCATATGTGCTTGTACAAATGAAGAATAAAGTAGAAGAGGAAGGAGAACAAATGACTAATGGTGTCATTAGGAAGATGAGATTTAAGAATTTTACTTTAGTGGTTCCCATTGTATTCAATGGTTGTAGATTTATAATTCAAATTATTAAAATTATAAGAATTCTTAAAAACCTTTAAAGATTTAAAAATATTCATATTCTTTGATTTAAGTAGAATCCTCTTCTAAGACTCTGCCTAAGAAAATTATCATATTTGTGCATGGCAAAATGTGTACATGAAAAAAAGTTGGAAGAAAAAAACGCCCAAATGTTCATCATGGTCCTCTGTGTGATAAGATCAAAGGTATTTTTTTCTATTTTTTCCATATTTTTGTAGTGATATTTTATAAGCAGCATATATTGCTTTGCTGCTTATAAAATATAACTACCATATATTTCAGGAAAAATAGGGTGATAAACAAGAAAACAAAAAAATTGTTTCTCTTTTTCCTCTCCAACAATAAAAAGAAGAATGTAAAAACATTGCCAATCTTCTAATTTAAATAATTTATTTTTCTGATTTATAGTTTTTAAAGATTGTCCATGATAAATTACCTTCAAAATGTGATTGCTTGCAAATTGTGCTTGCCCCTGAGAACTAAGAGGGAAAAAGTCTTTATAGGTTTTTTTTTTCCATTTCTTTCCAGTTTTACAAGATCTAAATATATACACGCAGAAAACCACTAAACCAAAAATCACTACATGGGGCAATAGGTGTGTGGGGTTTCTTGGCGAGAAGAAACTTGCCAAGAAACTTGGGTTTCAATTCTGGCTATCTGTAAAGCTATGCGATCTTGGGCAAGTTATTCAACCTCTTTAAGCTCAAGTTCTCATATTGTAAAATGTGAGTAATACTTATTTTTACCATGTCTTGATTTTGTTGTAGTTAAAAGAATTAAAAATTGCTTATACAATGCCTTAATAACACTTTGATTAAAAATAAAAACCAGGCCGTGTGTGGTGGCTCACGCCTGTAATCCCAGCAGTTTTGGAGGCCAGGGCAGGCAGATCACTTGAGGCCAGGAGTTTGAGACCAGCCTGGCCAACATGGCAAACCCCATCTCTACTAAAAATACAAAAATTAGCCGGGTGTGGTGAGGTGTGCCTGTAATCCCAGCTACTCGGGAGGGTGAGGCAGGAGAATCGCTTGAACCCAGGAGGTGGAGGTTGCAGTGAGCTGAGATCATGCCACTGTACTCCAGCCTGGGTGACAGGGAGAGACTCTGTCTCAAAACAACAACAACAAAACAAAACAAAACCAGCTACTATTATTACATTATCTTTGTGGCTCCATTTCTAAGAACATCCCTGGAGCGCAGATGAACCTGAGGTCTGGCTAATTGCCTACCAATGCACCCAGCACAGTGCTTTGCTCATAGTAGGCATCCTACAAAAAAAAAAATGTGTGGAATATATGATGACTATCTCATAAAACAAAAGATGCCCTCGGATTCAAACACAGGCAGTCTTTGACTAACGGAGCCCATGTTTTCCATGACTCAACATATGGCATCCCTGGAGATTCAGTTGCTGCAGGGCATAATGGAGCTGGATACCTCTGTTTAGGTCAAGGCCGCAAGATACTCTAATGACACACCCAGGCAAGAGCTACTAGACTGTGGTGGAGATGCAAAGAGGTCAAATAATTTCCCCATGTGTACAAACATCTGGTTAGTATGAAAGGTGGGACTAGAGTATCTCTTTTGATCTCAAATCTGGTCAGTTGGTGGTCACTGCAATGCAGTGTCTAACTTACAAATTCTATGGCTAACCTTGCCCCAAAGTCTGACTCTAGCACAGTTTTGGACAAGCCTCCCCCTTTTGACGTGGAATTGTGATAGCAGTGAGATCGTCGAGCAGAACCAGGACACAAAACTGGATTTGAACACCTCCTAAGAATTGTCTTCTTACTCATCAATAGTGAAAGAAAATTGGTTCTGGCACCTCGCCAACCTGGCATGCAGAGCCTGGCTTGTGGCCCTGAGAATGTACCTGTTGGACAGGCCCCACAGTAGAAAGAGCCTTGAGTGTTGAAACACTGCACAAGTGTGGAGCAAGGCCCGGGCTGGAAGCTGCACTCGTCTCTGTCCAGCGTGCAGGCAGGGCTGTTGGGTGAAAACATCCACCCAGCATCACAGACGCAGCTGTACTTGGGCTGGCAGGATGACAACAGCGTGAATAAAGACAATCATGAAAATCAGCAAGAAAAGCCTTTGAACATTTCATCAAGCCCCTAACTGTTTATCCTCTAACGTTCATTTCCATAAGGCCAATCCACTGGCTTCTCTTTTTCTTCCCATATGATTAAGCATTTAGACCAGACCATGCAAAAAGGGAAACATCTTTATTTCAGAGTAAAAGCAAGCTATAATTTCTCCCAAAGATGCCAGGGAAAGAGTAACAACAATCAAGAACTGTAAGTCAATATAATTAAAGTCAATCAACTCAGCCTGCTATGTTTTTAGAGGGAAAAACACCCATGTAGGCACAGACCTTGGAAAATCAATTCCGTTTGTTTTTCTTTGGAAAGTTCTTCCTCCTACCCACCTCCTCAACCCTTCCATCCCCATCATTGGACGGGAATTATTTTCCATCACATGGGTAGAAAAAATACAACTAAAAATAAAGAATTGAAGTTCTCATGAAGAGCCAAGCCAGCCAAGACTGGACAACCTTGAGGGTCAGGAGTCAAAGTCATCAGGACGCAGGGCATGGAGGGTCGTTCTGGGGAGTGGGCTCTTAGAGTCTGCAGCAGTTCCAGAGACCCAGGCCGGGAAAAGTCAGACTCCTTGAAACCACATGTTGCCAACAAGACTGGTCCTTTTATATTCCTGTGTTTTGTCACTGTTAAAATAAAACTTACAAGGCCAAGAGAAGGTCTTATCTCAGAGAGAGTCATGACGGGATAATAAAAATGGTCCCATTTCGGCCGGGCACGGTGGCTCATGCCTGTAATCGCAGCGCTTTGCGGGGCTGAGGCGGGTGGATCACCTGAGGTCAGGAGTTCGAGATCATCCTGGCCAACATGGCAAAACCCCGTCTCTACTAAAAATACCAAAATTAGCCAGGCATGTTGGCATGCTCCTGTAATCCCAGCTACTCAGGAGGCTGAGTCACGAGAATTGCTTGAACCTGGGAGGTGAAGGTTGCAGTGAGCTGAGATCGTGCCACTGCACTCCAGCCTGGGTGACAGAGTGAGGCTCCATCTCAAAAAAAAAAAAAAAAAAAAATCCTATTTTACATAATGACATCTTAATCTCTGGGTCCTACTTCCTGCATAGTTCATCTCCCCTCCTCGCCTATGTCCTACTTACAGACAGGAAGTGACTTCACCTCTGTAAGCTCCAGGTAGTGCTTGTATGCAGTGGGCATAGGAGGAGGAGGAGCTACTAACCATGGCTCTCTGCAAGGAGGCACATTTGGGGAAGGGACCCACCTCTCCAGCTTGCTCTCGCATTAAATCCTCACAGATGCCATGGACACAGCGTGCCACAGAACCCCCTTCACAGTCGTCATATTTGGATGCACACTGGGGTCCGTACGTCTCAGGTGGGCAGTGACAACTGTTGGTTACACAAGAGCACAATGTCAGGGCACGCGCTTTGGGGCCAGTGCCTGTCTCTTAATATCAATGAGAAAAATAATTCAAATTACAAATCAACGATGTTAACTTGGAATCGTCAGCCAGCAATGCAAATTTACTGACTGGAGTCTCGGGAGAAAATCACTCTGCTGTGCTCCAAGTGGTGGATTGAGTAAATACAATGTTGGTGAATCACAACTTATTATCTGGTAAGCCTAGCACTATAAATTCTTGTGTTATCAGGTCATCAAACAGCATTTTCAAAGGTCAGATGTGTATAAGCCAAAGGTAATGGAGTTAGTTCAAGAAGGTAAAGGGAGAGATCAGCAAATCCATTCATCATCTGTCCAATTGGACCTGCCATGAAGCACAGGCAACGTGGGCTACACTGATAACTCTGAATGCTCTCTAGGATTATATAACCCCACACGCAATCCAGTGTCCACACCTCACAGTCTATGATCATTATTATTATCTTACAAAGGGCAATATGTCTTCTATCCATAAAAAGCGTAGTTATATAATATAATACAGTGGCATTTCTTTCATAGCCACACTTGAATTTCCAACAAAATGTGGTAATTATTACACTATGCGTAAGCTAGCAGTGGGTGCTTTGTTACTAGAAGATTTAAGTCCAATGATAATCAAATAAGCAATGTTGTTTTAAGCCCTTGTCATTGTTAAAGCTGCTTTAGCCTTATCTCTGCAGCTTAATGGGAACTTCTATGATCTGAGCATGGGAGCTAGGGGAGGAGGAGGGTAGAGGAGTCCCAGAAGCCTAAGCCTATCCCCACATGCCAGGGCACATCTGATGGAGAGGTAGGGCCAGGCCCAGAGGTTGCCGATTGCCGGACTTGAGCAGAATTGGCAAGAAAAGCTCTCATGGGGGAAATGACTGTTGGTGCCAGGGGTCAGAGACAAGGAACAGGGCGTGCCTGCGTGGCCAGGCCTCCCTCCCATGCCATTCTACAAAGGAAAAGAGCTATTTTAACAAGACACAGTGAGGTACAAGGAGCTTAGTAATGTTCATGGATGACAATGTATGAACGACATTGTGGGAAATTAGCATTTGACTGTTTGAAAGGCATCAAGAACCAACCTCCAGGCACAGGATTCGGCTTGCCTGTGGTGGGCCCCAGAACCAATTGCTGGGGTGGCAGCTTTTTGGCAGTTTCTAAGGAAGAGGAGAGCAATGAGTGTGGCCAGAAATGGAGAATAAGAATGCAGGGAGCACCATCCATGCATTCAAGTCGGGAGGCCAGACTTAGCAAATAAAAATACAGCATGCCCAAATAAATGTGAGTTTCCAATAAATGAATATTTTTTGGTATAAATATGTTCCATGCAATTTACGACATCAGTATATATTTACATAAAAGCTGATTCATTAATATATGACATTTCTGAGCATTCCAAAGTTGCCTTTGGAACGGCTCACTAAGATAAAGTCATAGGAAAATAACAATAAATGATTAAAATTAAAGAGAAATTGAATTATCCATCCCCCCCATAGACATTTATATTCCCCGCATCTCTCTCTACTTTCCTTCTCATATTGTTTTCTTTCCTCTTTGTCCTCCCATCTTTACATAGAATATTTGTATAGAGAATTTAATTAGACTCTTGAGGATTATGGAACTTTAAAACAGTTCATACACATATTTGAGCATTTGATCCAGGAGACTTCATTACTAAAAGTTTACTTTGCCACCTGTCCCAACACCTCCCAACAATGTTTAAGAATCTTTTTTATTTTTGTTTTTGTTTTTTTTGAGATGGAGTCTCACTCTGTCACCCAGGCTGGACTGCAGTGGCATGATCTCAGCTCACTGCAACCTCCGCCTCCCAGGTTCAAGCAATTCTCCTGCTTCAGCCTCCCGAGTAGCTGGGACTACAGGTGCGTGCCACCACACCCGGCTAATTTTTTATTTCTTTTTTTAGTAGAGATGGGTTTTCACCATGTGGTGAAACCAATTGATTAGTTACTGATTTAGCAGAAGTCTCTTTTCTAGAGGTAGAGGCTGGTCTCGAACTCTTGACCTCAGGTGATCTGCCCACCTCGGCCTCCCAAAGTCCTGGGATTACAGGCGTGAGCCACCGCACCCTGCTGAAGAATCTTTAAACCAACTGTTACTAGCTTTCTATTTTCTATGTCTGGGAGATCTGAGTGTTTGGAAACCCCTGGGATAAGATTGCCTAGGTTTAAATTTTGGTCCTTCCTGTTAACTGTTTACCCAGACAATGTACTAACTCCCTCTGCCTCAATTTCTTATGAAATAATAGTGGTAATCTCTGTGAATTATGGTCATATTGCAGTCTACAGGCATTCCCCTGTAGCAAGTGCTAAGAAGATTGTCTTTATTTTATCACTAAGTGCTTAACTATTGCAAAATGACATAAGATTTGAGAGGAGATTCTGGTTCATGGACCTGCAGTTAAATCCTTTCTCTTTATCTCTCTCTTCCTTCATCCTTGCTATTATCACTGGGAGATGAGTAGGCATTAATCCTATACTGTTCTCTAAATAGCTACAGAGTATACTTCTTTCACTTAAGTTTAGATGATGTGAGAAGATAGAGAAAGGGAGGAAGAAACTCAAGTAAACCATAGGATTCCTTCCTATGATCCTCAAAGACAAGTATTATTAATCCCATTTTACAGACTAACATTTCCCAAAACCACAAAATGAATAATTGGCAGAAGATAAATAGACACTTAGGTCTACCCGACTCCTGCACCATTGTTCCTGCATGTTATATTCTTACATTCTGATAAGTAGAGTTATATGAAGATGCTGCATTTTTATGCACCTTTTTGTTTTGTTTTGTTTCGTTTTGTTTTGAGACAGGGTCTTGTGCCCAGGCGGAGTGCAGTGGTGCGATCTCGGCTCACTGCAACATCTGCCTCCCAGGTTCAAGCGATCTTCCCACCTCTGCCTCTCAAGTAGCTGGGACTACAGATGCGTGCCAGCACGTAAGCTAAGTATTGCATTTTTTGGTAGAGACAGGGTTTCACCATGTTAGCAAGGCTGGTCTCGAACTCCTGACATCAGGTGATCCACCCACCTCGGCCTCCCAAAATGCTGGGATTACAGGTGTGAGCCACCGTGCCCAGCCTCATGTACCTTTTAAACATAACAGGGTTAACAGGCAAAATATATTTTCAAGGTGTCTTGATATGGCCTTTAAAAATGAACAATTACTTATATACCTCCCTAAGTGAAAATAAAAGCCATATATTGTATTTTTAAAACCAACTTACTACTATTCCTGCTTTAGTTATTAGTTACTGATATAGCAGAAGTGTCTTTTCTATGACCTTTTATTGCCAACTTGGTTCCAGCAGAACAAATCTAGGCTTTTCTTTGAAAACACTGCAAGTGCATTTTGGCAATTGAGAAGAGGTTAAACACACTTGGATAGTCATAGTTTAACTTGTGTTAGAGTCCATGGTTCAATACTAATTTTACTGACTGAGTGAAAAAGGTAATAAGTTTAATACCTAACTACCACCTGAGCTAAAACTAGATTATCCTCATTGTTTAAACTCTGCATGATGTAAAATCTACCAGTGATATGAATGGAAATAAGTGAAATAAAATTTACTAATCATCATGTTTCTGGAAAACCAGAGAAACTCAACTTTTTGTTTTTCTGGAAAGCCTTCTAGATCTGAGCCCTAAATGTACAACACACACCATCCATGCATGGCAAGCTCAGATCCCAAGGGCTGTCTTAAATCCAAAGTAAGCAGGGGAGGCTGGGCACGGTGGCTCACGCCTGTAATCCCAGCACTTTGGGTGGCTGAAGCGGGCAGATCACCTGAGGTCAGGAGTTTGAGACCAGCCTGGCCAACATGGTGAAACCCCATCTCTACTAAAAATACAAAAATTAGCCGGGTATGGTGTCAGGTGCCTGTAATCCCAGCTACTCGGGAGGCTGAGGTAGGAGAATTGCTTGTACCCAGGATGCAGAGGTTGCAGCAATTGCACTCCAGCCTGGGTGACAAGAGCAAGACTCTGTCTCAAAAACAAACAAACAAAAACAAACAAAACAAAACAAAGTGAGCAGGGAAACAACAAGAATCACGTCTTCAGAACAAAGAGGGAGTAACAGCATGGAGAAGTGGCGAAATGTAATTGTGTTAGTTGTCTGAAGCTCTGGGTCTAGACCTCAAGCCAAAAGAATCAGTGGAAACAGAAAATGATGTTTCTTGTGCTATAATCATTGTTCTAAAAAAGAATTTCCACCAGAAGTTTACCTATGAAACAGGTATGAAACAGGACTTTCCATGAATGAGTATCTGCACCTTTTCAGAGGTCTTTACAATGGCAAATTATTAATCCAGTTAAAGACTCCTTTTTCCGTCCAAGTAAAAGAGCTCAAAGAGTTAAAGAAACTGAATGAGGTCCAAACTCCAAAGCGAACTTTGATGCCATGACTACATTTTTGCAGGTCCAGATGATTCTGAGGCTCAAGTTTTCTTTTAGCTAATGTGTGCTGAAATTTCCCAAAGGGTTTTCTAGCCTCAGTGAATACCCTGATTAACAAGGATTTAACCTCACATAATTAACAGAACTCAAGAAAGTATCTAAATGTTCACTTGTTTCATTACACGTGGATTCCACAAAGCAATAATTTAATCTTATGCTCATGCACCTTTTTTCATTTTCTTTTATTCCCTCAAAAAGTCTCTAACATATGCCTGAATTACGGGACTTAAAGTGTAGATAATGAAATGGAATTCATGAGGTTTCAGAAACTATTCCCATATCAAGAGAAAGAACCCTGATTTAAATGCTCTGTTCTCTAATGTCCTCCAGCAAATCTATGAAGGGCAGAGTCTAGGAATCAAGATCATTTCCAAAGCCATCCACACATCATCAGTTCTTCTGTATTCTTGCTCTCCTTTATAAAAGAGTGCAAGAGAGAATTTCGTACTGTTCTTACAAAGTTGAATCTGTCATTTAGAAATGCAGCTTTCAACAAATAAATGGTTCCTTTCCTCCTAGCTCTCATTCTGTCATATGTGTGTGTGGATAAAGAACTCTAACCTCTGACATGCTGCAGAGTGGTAAATAGTAAAAGGGTTTTTGTTTTGTTTTTCATTTTGCAGGGGGAAGAAATAACGTGCTGAAAACAGCAACAGCCTTTATCTTGGTCTATGGATCTCATCACAGTTTGCCCATACTTGTCGCTCTATTGGCCCACAAGACTCCAAAAGACAGTGATGATAAAGGAAGACTAGGAGTGAAATCTAATCTCTGTAACATTCCTAGATATCAGGAAGGTCAGAAAGCAGAAGTTCTAGGAGCCTGGACATTTGCCACCAATGCCTCTATGTAGCAATCCTCCTTGATAAATGCCCATAAACAGAAATCAGGAGATAATGGGTTCACGGAAATGAGAGACTAGACTGCATTTTGCTTCCAGCCCAAGCCTAACAAAGGCAGGGAAAAAAGGCTTCATTTAAATGAGAAACAGAGTCCTGGAATCAAAAAGCTCTTTAATAACATAACACTAAATTTAAGTCAGAAGTGGTTAATTTTACTTTTGCATAATGATTGAACTCATAGACATATCTAGTAGAAGTTTGAATAATTTGAGTTTATAACCTGGAATGAGTAAAAGTTTTAAAGATCAGATCAAAAAAACAAAAGTATCAAATAAAAAGAGAAGGTTTGTGACTGCATTTTTAGAAGTGTGCATTAATAGTGATGGTTTAACATGGAATACTATGCAGCCATAAAAAAATGATGAGTTCATGTCCTTTGTAGGGACATGGATGAAGCTGGAAACCATCATTCTCAGCAAACTATCACAAGGACAAAAAACCAAACACCGCATGTTCTCACTCATAGGTGGGAACTGAACAATGAGAACACATGGACACAGGAAGGGGAACATCACACACCGGGGACTGTTGTGGGGTGGGGGGAGGGTGGAGGGATAGCATTAGGAGATATACCTAATGCTAAATGACGAGTTAATGGATGCAGCACACCAACATGGCACATGTATACATAAGTAACAAACCTGAACATTGTGCACATGTACCCTAAAACTTAAAGTATAATAATAATAAAATTTAAAAAAAATAGTGATGGTTTAAAAAACAAAATTACTGCACTCATTTTTGCTGGAAAGACTAGAATGGATATTGTTATGTGGAAATTGAAGAACAAGATAGCAGAGACACCAGTAAGAGAGCAAATAATTGCTCTTCAATCCAGTGAGATTCTACTCCAGAGCATTGAAAGGATTTGTTCATTCTATAGCAGAATTTATTTATTAATCTTTTAAAAATCACAAAATAAAAGAGACCAGCCAAACTATAAGGAAAGACACTGTCTAGTTTAAAAGGTGACTTCAAAGAACTGTACAAAAGTAAGTTTGGCATTGATCTGCCTTAATTTTTTGGACTTCGTTTTTAGAAAGACAATGTGTGTGGCATCAGCAAAGCTTTGACGATGGATATCCCTAGAGCATGATGGGAACATAGAGGCCCTGAGATGCCTCACTCTGCTTAAAAAGGGAAGGGAAAGTTTCCTGCAGAAAGTGATGCCTGAGCTGAGCAGGAGAATTCTGTGGACAAGTCACTTGACAGAATAAGTCAGAAGAGAAGATAGAGCTGTACTGATAATGATGACTGTGGTCAGAGAGAGTTACTTCATTCATTGAACCTCAGTTTAATCTTTGACCTCGTTATGGTCACATTTTGACATAGCATTGAATAAAGCTCTCTTTACCCAAAACTATGAGCTTGCTAATACATGGAAAGAGTACAGCTGGGGACACTGGTGTGGTGGGGTGTCCCCTTTTCTACTTAAGGCCATTCAGTGGCTCCCCTTCAATGCTCCGGCTCTTCCTAAGTCTTCAGCTCCTTTTGCACCAGGCCATGCTTACTCTCTGTGCCAATCACGGGAGCCTTCTTCCGGTTCCTTGGGGATGTTAGAGCAAGGATTTCTTCACGGGGTGAGAGTAAAGGACTCATGAGCTTTTCTTCAGTTAAGTAAAAATAGCTATGTAGACGTTAAGCAAGAGCTAAATATTTCCTCATGGAGTACCAACTTTTGGTGGAATACAGATAGTTAATTTAGGATGCTCTTAACTATGGGATGTTTTAGGCCTTCAAAAATATACTGATATTTACCAAAAAAAAAAAAAAAAGTTACCTGTAACTTCCCATTGTATTAACACATGTGCCTCCATTCTGGCAGCTCAAGGGTGTTCCTGAGTAAATCTCACATTCGTTAACATCAGCTGAGCAGAGAGGACCCTGTGATCATATAAGGAACAAAGTCAGGTGCCAAAGGTCACAGAGGTATCTGGAGCGAACATTCACATGATACGTTTAAGGATTTATACGTGGACAGTATATAAGTCCTCATAAAGTCAAATACAATAATACTGATATTAACCCCTGGCTATTCTTCCTCTGGAACTCAGATTTCACCTAATAGAACACAAGAGCTCTTCATAAGATCACAGCAGTCACAGGAGAGGAATCCTTATCTAAACATAATAGAATCCTCAGTTCACAGTGGTGCTACATCTGGGAATACTTACTTAACTTTTTTTTTTATGTGCATGCTGGAGACAGTTTCCATCGTTATCAGAAAAAATAAACAAACAAAGAAAATGAGAAAATTTGCATAGGTATGTCAAGATTTGTTTGGTACTTTCCAATGCTGAACAATTTAAATTAATGTTAACAGAAATATTGTGTTCTTCCAGGCAGTTATCCAATCAAGTGAACCTCTCCTTTCAATGGCTTTAGTATTTGGTGGGTTATACAATCATACTCACCACTGTTTGGGTTTTAGCATACCTGGTATATTTCAATTTGATTTGGGAGGCCACAGAATCCTAGAAACTTTAGATGGAGAATTAAATATGCCTGATGATTCCAAGGAAACCACAGATGCTGACCTGCCATCATTCTTAACCAAAGAGTAGATGACTCACCTTCCACTGTGGGGGACAGATACAAAAAAAGGAATCATGCAGATTGAGGCAGGTTCCACCATTCTGGCAAGGATTGCTGCTGCAAACCTTTTTGTCAACAGTCTGAAACAAAAACAGGACAGTCAATGAGATGACTTGCAGTCAGCAGCAACAAAACGCATGTTACCGTGCACGTGGGATTACATTTAACTCTTAATCAGTGGGGGTCTCCTTCTACACTTTAAAGCCATTACTTATGTTCTTCTTCAAATCACCTCTCTTGTGAAAAAACAGAAAGCATTTTCTATTATCAATCTTGTTCCTATTCCTTAACTCTCAGCATGCTTTTGACCACGGGTGGGATGAAGTCTGAGGGGAGAAGATTCTCACTTTGTCTTGGAAAAGTATTATTCTCACCTGAGAAAGAGACCTCAGTGGACAGGAGTAAAGGTTTCAGGTGTGGAAATAATAATGGATGTTGCTATTGCACAAAGAAAATAAAATGGAGATTCCGGTTATTTTACCGGTGATTCTTATCTTTGGTCCCTCGAGGTGAGCCTTTGAAATATAATCATCTGCTGCTGCTGCCCCTCCTCCCATGGGTTAAGGTGACTGAACTCCTGCTCCAAGTCCCTTTGTTAGAAATGTGGCCAGCTAAGACATATCTTTCACCCTGGTGCTCACCTGACTGCTTTCAGCCCAGATCACAAACAGACCTACCTTTGTCTACATCTACATCTACATAACCTGGGGAATCTGACCCTATGTCAGCTACCAGTTTGAATCTTGTTAAGATTTTTACTGCCTTTGGGTGCAGAGAAAACTTCTTTTTTTTCTTTTTTCTTTTTTCTTTTCTTTTTGATTTTTTTTTCTTTTTTTTGAGACGGAGTCTTGCTCTGTCGCCCAGGCTGGAGTGCAGTGGCGCGATCTCCGCTCACTGCAGGCGCTGCCTCCTGGGTCCATGCCATTCTCCTGCCTCAGCCTCCTAAGTAGCTGGGACTACAGGCGCCCGCCACCACGCCCAGCTAATTTTTTGTATTTTTAGTAGAGACGGGGTTTCACCGTGTTAGCCAGGATGGTCTCGATCTCCTGACCTCGTGATCCGCCCGCCTCAGCCTCCTAAAGTGCTGGGATTACAGGTGTGAGCCACCGCGCCCAGCCAGAGAAAACTTCTTTAGAGGGAACACTTGATTATGCAATGATGGCCACTTTATGAATTTCACTCATAGTCCAATTGTCTGGGTTTTGGTTGGTATCGTTGTTTTGTTTGTTTGTTTGTTTTTGAGATGGAGCCTCGGTCTGTCACCCAGGCTGGAGTGCAGTGGTATGATCTCAGCTCACTGCAACCTCCACCTCTTGGGTTGAAGCGATTCTCATGCCTCAGCCTCCTCAGTAGCTGGGACTACAGGAATGTCCCACTACGCCTGGCTAATTTTCCTATTTTTAGTAGAGACAGGGTTCCACCATGTTGACCAGGCTGATCTCAAACTCCCGACCTCACATGATCCACCTGCCTCGGCCTCCTAAAGTGCTGGGATTACAGGCGTGAGCCACCGTACCCAACCTAATTCTCTGCTTTTAAAAAGTTAAAATAGGGGCAAACTGTTGATTACATTTCATATATATGTATGCACACACATACATATATATTATATATGTGTCTATATATATGCACATACATACACACACACATACAAATACAACATACTATATACAGTGACTCATAAAAAAAAATTACGTCTGTTTCCTTCATTTTATGGATGAAATAGAAAGCCAGAGGATAGCCAACTGACTCAATACCATTTTCTGCAAAGCACATTCCTTCTCCACTTTGGTCATAAATTAGATGACCACACGTCTGGGGGTCTCTTTATGAACCCTGTTTTATTCCATTATTCTATTTTTCTCTTTGTGCTAGCACAACAATTGGCTCTGTCCATCATAGAATGCTCTTTAAAACATTAACCACAAACTCATTCAAAGGTTTTCTGTCAGACAAAAGCAACACTGTCTGGGGACTAAAATCTTAAAAGCCTACAGGGGCCTAGTAGAAAATGAAATCAGGAGTCAGGAGGAAGACAATAGGGAGTGGTGGGGACTGTGGTGGCCAGAGAGCATTTGCCCTATCCAAAGGCACAAAGCATTCACATTTGAAAATCATTCAACATTCCTCCTGAGGGATGAGGGTAGGAGGACTGGCTGAGCGAATATAATGAAGCCCTCCAGGAGACAAAACTTGAGTGCAGTGTCACGGTCCACAGCACTATTCTTTACTCATTTTCTTTCGCTTAACTACTCTCTTAAAAATGACAGCTGAGGGGTCAATGTATTATCTAAGTGGAGAAAAGGAATACACGAACTTGATCATCAAATGACAAAAAGGTTTGCAGCAGCAATCCTTGCCAGAATGGTGGGACCTGCCTCAATCTGCATGAGTCCTTTTTTTTGTATCTGTCCTTCACAGTGGGACAGATCAAACTTAAAAGTAGAGGAAAATGCTTGAAGCATGAGCAAAACAGATGAAGAATATTTTTGCAGAAATTCTTACACTGGAATCCCCAGATTTTTATGCAAAATTTTAAACATGAAGAGATTCTGTACATTTCTCTGCATAGAAGGTTACAGCTTCCATGAAAGTCTTTAAAAGGTCAGCTTCCTACAAAAGGGGTAAGAAGCCTAAGTTTACATAGATCAGTCTACAAGCATGTAGTACAGTTATACAATGTTTTCTGTAAGAAACTGTTCAAGTTTAATTACCAGCAAATGTCATTTTAAGAAAATTCGGACTATTTTGTGATACACCTAGACTTCCGAGCTTAGCGTCAGAGAGGATGCTTGCTTTCCGAGCCCCAGTCCCTGATGGGAGAATCAGCAAGTTGGGAGATCACTAGCTGACCAAGCACAGCACACACAGCTAAAGGGTGATGGTAAAGGATGTGGGCTGTGGGCTGCAAACTCAGGGTCAGAAGCCCTAACAGGCTCGGAGACCTCAGCCTTGTCATTTCATCTGTCTTAGACTCAGCTCTGCATCTGCATCCTGGGAAGCACATGCTGGGATGAGAATTAAATTATGGGAAAAAGCAAGTTTTTAATATTAATCATCCATTCACCTTCAAAATAAGAATAGCAGCTCTATTAATGATTCTAGTATGTTTTCTGTGAAAGATTTGGGTATGTAGTAGCATGAGACCTACCTGCTGCAAGCCTTGGAATTTTCTCTCAAGATCCACCAGCTGGCAATAGGGAAGAAAAAGCTTCAGTTAGCTGGTTCAAAGGCATTGCACATGTGATGTTATATCCTTGACATATTGTCCTAATGCCCTCTGCTAGGGACACACTTTGTTCATTCCTCCTTTTATTCCCTTTTTCCTCTTCATTCCTCTCCCCTCAGGATTTTCTTCCTTCCTATTCCCTCCTATCACATAGATTTCTGGGGTTTTTTTAAGTTTTTTTTTAAAGTACAACCCACTGATAAGTTGACCGATTGCTTCTCTGTAGGCAGTGACTATGGAAATGTTCATAAATGTCAGTGATGCATCCACTTCCCCAATAAGAAGATTGCTCTCAGAACTTCAGCAAGGCTTCTTTTCTTTCTTTCTTCCTTTCTTTCTTTCTCTCTCTCTCTTTCTTTCACTCTGTCTTTCTTTCTCTCTCTCTCTCTGTCTCTCTCTCTCTTTCTGTCTCTCTCTCTCTCTTTCTTTTTTTTTTTTTTTTTTTCTGGCAAGGTCCCACTCTGTTGCCTGGGCTGGAGCACAGTGGCATGATCATAGCTCACTGCAGTCTCAACCTCCCTGGCTCAAGCCATCCTCCCACTTCAGCCTCCCAAGTAGCTGTGAGTACAGGCTCATGCCACCATGCCCAGCTATTTTTTTTTTTTTTTTTTTTTTTGGTAGAGACGGAGTCTCACTATGTGGCCCAGGCTGGTCTCAAACTCCTAGGCTCAAGCGACCCTCCCTCTGTGGCCTCCCAAACTGCTGGGATTACAGGCAGTTTTTTATATTAATCATCCATTCACTTGCAGTGAGCCACTGCTCCCAGCCCAAGGCCTACTTCTGCAACAAGTGCTTGCACAGCATTTCCTGCCTTCTGTCCATCACTTCTACAGCCTCCATTACAGCTGTGTCATTTAACCAAACAGTGAGTAGTTACATGCTAAATCTCTAAAGAGCACACAAAGTTGGTATATCCCCTACAAAACGGTTACTTATACAATAGAACTAGGGAGAACTCATCGGTTCTTATGACGTAGATGTCAGACTTACCTTGGAATTAAGCTGATAGATTTGACTAGATATATTTTGAGGCAGACCAATTGCACTCCCTTTTAACTCTATAATATCTTCTTTGTTTTTCTGGATCTAATTTTAGAAAAAGAAGAAGAAATGAAGAGCACTAGTGAAAATATCATATTTATCTTTACAGTAACATAATTAAAAACTTGAGTAGTATTCTACTTTAAGCACTAAGATCTTGCCTATTATTATAAAAACCAAAACAACACCATGCGTAATAAACACTGGGCTAAAATAGCCACAGCATAATTCCACTTATCCTTTTCAGTAACAATAGATCAAGGTATTTTCCATTTGTATGTTTTCCTATAATACCAGTTTAGGGTGCTTATTAAGAAACCTGGCTTGGAAGCAGACTGTTTAGGTTTTAAGTCCTGGCTCAGCTATTTATTGCTGTCCTGGGCAAGTTACCTAACTGCTTCAGGGTTTCTTTACCTCTTGTAAAACTAGGGTGACAATAAAGGCCACCTCATAGGACAGCTGTGAAGGTCAAATGAGATAACATCCATACGGTGCTAAGCACAGTGGATGGCCCACAGTAAGCTCTGAATAATGCTGACTTCTAACATTATGACTGAAATATGCAGTGATTATTGGGAAATGAAAACACCCAGTAAGGCAGGAGAATAACTGGCCAATTCTGTTCTGTGGCAAAAGCAAACTGGTCACATGTCCACATATCCTTGGTCCCCTACTTCCTCGCATCCCCTGTGGAGGAGTTTCAGTTCCACCCTCCGTGCCTTCTCTGGACTAGGGTGCATTGTCTGGCACAATGAGCTTCTATCTTTTAGCATACTCCCTCTACCCACTATTAACCCCAGGCCATCGTCCTTTACAAGAACATGTCTGATGCCCAATTATGTTCTCTATGCTAAAGATTCAAGGTACACTAGGAAGGGGGAGGGAGGCTGAAGACAGGTTGATTAATGAATACAATATATAGTTAGATAGAAGAAATAAGACCTAGTGTTTGATAGACCAGTAGGGTGACTATAGTTAACATTAATCTATTGTACATTTCAAAATAACTAGAAGAGAACAATTCATATGTTCTTAGCATGAAGAAAAGGTAAATATTTAAGGTGATGGATATCCCAATTACCCTGATTTGAACTTTACACATTATAGGAATGTATCAAATTATGTATTAATAAAAAATAATAATTAAAAAAGATTCAAGGTACAGATTAATCTAGACTTGTTCAATTAAGTCACCGTATATGGATATACAAAATGACTTCAATATATTTCCAGTGTATTACCTGATGTAAACACTCACTGAGATCTTCATCATTTAATTTAATTTTTCCCAGGGATCCGGTTCTAAACTCAATGTTTTGAGCAGACCCCGTAAGAAACACCAAATTTCCTCTCTCTGTAGCCATTCGAGGCCTATATAATTCAAACGAGAGAATGCATCAGTAATTAGCAAGTACAATTTTTAAACCAAAATAACAAAGTTTCTTACTGAATAACTACAGGCCAAATACATCTTCACTTTTTGATCATCTCAACCCAACTGCCCCTGCTCATCTGCCACTTTTTTCTCTGCACATTTCTCAGAGATACCTCCTGGCAATTGCAAACAGATTATTTGCAAAATGACAGATAATAATTTGTGCATAGGAAAGTAATTTCATACCTCAGTCTAAATGTTTTTCCCTGTTTGCTTCTCAACATAATTTTCCTCAAGAAAAATTGCACCTTTGTTTATCTGGCTATTTGGGAAAACTGGTGAGGAATTAGCCTAGTCCCTGAGCAGGAATGACCCATGTGTTTACTTACTGTTGGAGATTGATGCTTCTTTTTTGTCTCTGCAGCTCAAGTTCTCCAGCTTCGCCATTTACTTCAGCAAATATTAATAAGGTAAGCAAACTCCAAAGAAAAGGTAAAGACATGTTCATCATCAACCTCCCAGGTTGGCAGGTAAGAGTGAGGCCACTCCAACCAACTGAGCATGGGATTTTGGAGAACAGCAAACCAGGCAGGTGTACTTTGAACCATGGAATATCCTGTAACTGTTGAGTTTTTTCTTCTTTGCCCTAGAAGGCTATGTTATTTTTTCTTCCAGAGGGATGTAAATGATCTTAGATCTTCAGTACTCTTCAACTTGTGAGAGGTCAAAATCTACCTTAAGTGATGCGCAACTTAATCATTATCTATTTGACCTTTGAAACAGTAACAAGCAGCTTTGAAAACATCCACTTAAACAATCTTTGCTTAAGAAGTAACTAGGTTTCAACAAAAGTAAACTGGTCATTATCTACACCTTTCTCTGTTCCCCTCCTTCCTCACCTCCCTTGCAGAGGAGTTCCACCTTTACCCAGCGCTAGGAAAACTAGATATCCACATGCAAAAGAAGTTGGAGGCTTACCTCATACCATATGCAAAAATTAACTCAAAAAAGTTCAAAGATCTAAATCTAAGAGCTAAAACTATAAAATTAACTCACAATGGTTCAAAAAATCTGAAACTATAACATAAAACTCAGAAGAATAGGACAAAAATTCATGACCTTGGATTTTGGATTTGGCAATGATTTCTTGAGTATGATACCAAAAGCATGGGCAAAAAAAGAAAAACACACAGACAACCAAAAGATATAAATTGGAATACATCAAAATTAAAAACGTTTGTGCATCAAAAAATACATCAACAGAGTGAAAAAGCAACTCCCAGAATGGAAGAAAATATTTGCAAATCATATATATATGAAAATGGGTTAATATCCAGAATGTACAAAGAATTTGTACTTTTTACTTTTTATCATCCCTGTGGGACCTATGGACGGCTGTGGAATCCATTCCCACTTTCCACACTGCGCTATACACCCTTCCAGCTGGATATATGGTTTGAGGACATGGAGCACTGATGTCCCCACTCACTCTGTGCTGGGACTACAGAAACCACTGAGAGTGATGAAAATATTCTACATTTCGATTGTAAAATCAACTATTGATGCACTCAGACTTTCCATGAGCACACAGACAAAACTGAATTTGAGGGAGAGCTGTAAAAATTTCACTTCTAAGAAAAATCTCTAGGTAATTACCATTGCATTGGTTAATACCCATGCAGGCTCTTTCAGGACAAGCCTGTTTGTGTTTTACTTATTTTGTGTCTTACTTATGTAGGCTCTTTGAGGAGAGGATCATTATGTACCATAGCTTATAATTCTTTACTTATGCCGGGCGCGGTGGCTCACGCCTGTAATCCCAGCACTTTGGGAGGCCGAGGCGGGCGGATCACGAGGTCAGGAGATCGAGAACATCCTGGCTAACGTGGTGAAACCCCGTCTCTACTACAAATACAAAAAATTAGCCGGGCTTAGTGGCGGGCGCCTGTAGTCCCAGC